>NC_000020.11:28896362-29125693 GCF_000001405.40 Homo sapiens
GAGTGGATATTTGGAGCTCATTTGGTCCTACTGTGGAAAAACAAATATCTTCACATAAAAACTACACAGAAGCTTTATGAGAAACTTCTTTGTGATCTGTGCATTCATCTCACAGAGTAGAACCTTTCTTTTGATTGAGCACTTTTGAAACACTCTTTTTTTTAGAATCTGCAAGTGGAAGTTTGGAGCCTTTTGAGGCCTATAGTGGAGAAGGAAATATCTTCACATAAAAACTATGCAGAAGCATTCTGAGAAACTACTTTGTGATGTGTGCATTCATCTCACAGAGTAGAACCTTTCTTTTGATTGAGCACTTTTGAAACACTCTTTTTTTAGAATCTGCAAGTGGATATTTGGTGCCTTTTCAGGCCTATAGTGGAGAAGGAAATATCTTCACAGAAAAACTATGCAGAAGCATTCTGAGAAACTACTTTGTGATGTGTGCATTCACCTCACAGAGTAGAACCTTTCTATGGATTGAGCAGTTTTGAAACACGCTTTTTGTAGAATCTGCAAGTGGATATTTCGTGCTCATTGGTGCCTACTGTGGAAAAACAAATGTCTTCACATAAAAACTACACAGAAGCATTCTGAGAAACTTCTTTGTGATCTGTGCATTCACCTCACAGAGTCGAATCTTCCTTTTGATTCAGCAGTTGTGAAACACTATTTTTTTAGAATCTGCAAGTGGATATTTGGAGCCTTTTGAGGCCTATAGTGGAGAAGGAAATATCTTCACATAAAAACTATGCAGAAGCATTCTGAGAAACTACTTTGTGATGTGTGAATTCATCTCACAGATTAGAAACTTTCTTTTGATTGAGCAGTTTTGAAACTCTCTTTTTTTAGAATCTGCTTGTGGATATTCCATTCCTTTCCATTCCACTCAACTTCATTCCGTTCCATTCTACTCAATTCCATTCCTTTCCCTTCCACTCCATTCCACTACGCTCCATTCCACTACACTCCATTCTCCTCCACTCCACTGTATTATCTTCCATTCCAGTTCATTCCATCCCATTCTATTCCATTCCATTCCAGTTCATTCCATTCCATTCCACTCCATTCCATTCCATTCCACTCCATTCCATTGCACTCCAATCCTCTCCACTCAACTCCAGTCCACTCCTCTCCGCTCCACTCCATTCCCTTCCGTTCCATTGAATTCCATTCCATTCCATTCCCCTCCATTCCACTCCACTCAATTCTACTCCATTCGACTCCACTCCACTCCACACCACTAGACTCCATTCGATTCCATTCCATTCCATTCCTTTCCATTCCATTCCATGCCACTCCATTCCATTCCATTCCCCTGCACTCCGATCCACTCCTCTCAACTCCACTATACTACACTACACTCCATTGCATTCCATTGCATTCCGTTTTGTACCATTCCGTTCCATTGCACTCCTTTCCATTCCACTCCACTCCATTCCATTCCACTCTACTCTATTCCTTTCCATTCCTTTATTTCTACTGGATGTCACTCTGTCACCCAGACTGTAGTACAGTGGCACAATCTTAGCTCACATTACATTTCACCATTCCATTCCATTCTATTGCTTTCCATTCCATTCCTTTCCATTCCACTCCACTCCAATCCATTCCATTCCACTCCACTCTATTCCTTGCCATTCCATTCCATTCCATTCCACTCCACTCCGATTCACTCCACTCAACTGTACTCCACTCCATTCCACTTCATTTCATTCCGTTCCATTCCATTGCATTGCATTCCATTCCATTCCATTCCACTCCACTCCATTCCATTCCACTCCACTCCATTCCATTCCACTCCACTCCTTTCCACTCCATTCCATTCCATTCTACTACATTCCATTCCATTCCATTTCATTCCATTCCATTCCACTCTATTCCACTCCCCTCCCCTCCAGTCCACTCCATTCCACTCTACTCCATTCCATTCCATTCCATTCCGTTCCATTCCATTCCATTCCACTCCACTCTGATCCTCTCTACTCAACTCCACTCCACTGTACTTCTTTCCGTTCCGTTCTGTTTCATTCCGTTCTTTTCCCTTCCATTCCATTCCGTTCCATTCCATTCCACTCCACTCCATGCCATTCCACTCCATTCCTCTCCACTCCACTCCAATCCACTCCATTCCACTCCATTCCATTCCATTACATTCCACTGCATTCCAATCCACTATACTCAACTCCACTGCACTCCACTCCATTCCACTACATTCCACTCCATTCCACTCTTCTCCACTCCACTCCATTCCATTCCACTCCATTCCATTCAATTCCATTCCATACCATTCCACTCCTTTCATCTCCACTCCACTCCAATCCACTCCACTTCACTCCACTCCAATCCATTCCACTCCACTCCATTCTATTCCACTCCATTCTATTCCACTCCATTCCACTCCACTCTATTCCACTCCACTCCACTCCATTCCATTCCACTCCACTCCTTTCCATTCTACTCCATTCCATTCCTCTCCACTCCACTCCAGTCCAATCCACATCACTCCACTCCACTCCATTCCGTTCCATTCCATTCCACTTCACTCCATTCCATTTCCTTCCATTCCATCCCATTCGATTCCATTCCATTCCACTGCACTCCAATCTTCACATGAAAACTAAACAGAATCTTTCTGAGAAACTTTTTTGTGATGTGTGCATTCATCTCACAGAGTTGAACCATTCTATTGATTGAGCATTTTGGTCACAGTCTTTTTGTAGAATCTGCAAAAGGATATTTGTGAGCGCTTTGAAGCCTATGGTGAAAAAGGAAATATCTTCACAGAAAAACTAGAAAGAAGTTTTCTGAGAAACTGTTTTTTGATGTGTGAATTCATCTCACAGAATTGAGCCTTTCTATTGATTGAGTGTATTGGAAACCATCTTTTTGTAGAATCTGCAAAGGATTATTTGTGAACACTTGGGGGCCAATGGTGGAAAAGGAAATATCTTCACATGAAAACTAGACGGAAGCTTTCTGGGACACTTCTGTGTTATGTGTGCACTCATCTGAATCATTTGAACCATTCTATTGATTGAGCAGTTTGGAAACAGTCTTTTTGTAGAATCAACAGAGGATATTTGTGAGCACTTTGAGGCCTATGGGGAAAAAGTAAATATCTTCACATAAAAACTAGACAGAAGGTTTCTGAGAAACTGCTTTGTAATGTGTGCATTCATCTCACAGAGGTAAACATTTCTTTTCATTGAGCAGATGGGAAACTCTTTTCTTGTAGAATCTGCAAAGGGATATTTGTGAGTGCTTTGACTCCTATGGTGAAAAGGGAAATATCTTCATATAAAATGTAGACAGAAACTTTCTGAGAAACTTATTTGTGATGTGTGCATTCATCTCATAGAGTTGAACCATTCTTATTTTTTTTGGAGCTCTCAGTTTAATTATTTATTTATTTACTTTTATTATTATTATACTTTATGTTTTAGGGAACATGTGTACAACGTGTAGGTTTGTTACATATGTATTCATGTGTCATGTTTGTGTGCATTAGGTGTATCTCCTAAGGCTATCCCTCCCCCTCCCCACACTGGACTACACTCCCTGGTTTGTGGTGTGTGATGGTTCTCTTTCTGTGTCCATGTGTTCTCTTTGATCAATTCCCAGCTATGAGTGAGATCATGTGGTGTTTTATTTTTTTGTCCTTGCGATAGTTCGCTGAGAATGATGGTTTCCAGCTTCATCCATGTCCCTACAAAGGACATGAACTCATCATTTTTTATGGCCGCATAGTGTTCCATGATGGATATGTGCCACGTTTTATTCATTCAGTCTTTCGTTGTTGGACATTTACATTGGTTCCAAGTCTTTGCTATTGTGAATAGTGCCGCTATAAACATACGTGTGCATGTGTCTTTATAGCAGCATGATTTATAATCCTTTGGGTATATACCCAGTAATGGGATGGCTAGGTCAAATGGTATTTCTAGTTCTAGATCCCTGAGGAATCACCATACCAACTTCCACAATGGTTGAACTAGTTTACACTCCAACTGACAGTGCAAAAGTGTTCCTATTTCTCACATCCTCTCCAGCACCTGTTGTTTCCTGACTTTTTAATGATCACCATTCTAACTGGTGTGAAATGGTATCTCATTGTGGTTTTGACTTGCATTTCTCTGATGGCCAGTGAAGATGAGCATTTTTTCATTTGTTCATTGGCTGCATAAATGTCTTTTTTTGAGAAATGTCTTCTCATATACTTCACACACTTTTTGATGGGTTTGTTTTTTTCCTGTAAATTAGTCTGAGTTCATTGTAGATTCCTGATATTAGCCCTTTGTCAGATGAGTAGGTTGCAAAAATATTCTCCCATTCTGTAAGATTCCTGTTCACTCTGATGGTGGTTTCTTTTGCTGTGCAGAAGCTCCTTAGTTTAATTAGATCCCATTTGTCAATTGTGGCTTTTGTTGCCATTGCTTTAGGTGTTTTAGACATGAAGTCCTTGCCCATGCCTATGTCCTGAATGGTCTTGCCTAGGATTTCTTCTAGAGATTTTATGTGAAGCATTCTTTTGATTAATCAGTTTGGATACTCTGTTCTTGTAGAATCTGCAAGGAGATATTTGTGAGCGCTTTGAGGCCTTTGGTGAAAAAGGAAATACCTTCACATAATAAATAGACAGAAGTTCTCTGAGAAACCTCCCTGTCATGTGTGCATTCATCTCACATAGTTGAAACAGTCTTTTGACTGAACAGTTTGAAAACTGTCAATTTGTAGAATCTGCAAAGGGATATTTATGAGCACTTTGAGGCCTATGGTGAGAAAGGAAATATCTTCACATAAACACTAGACAGATTTCTGAGAAACCTCTTTGTGATGTGTGCATTCATCTCACAGAGTTGAACCATTCTTTTGATTGAGAAGTTTTTAAAAAGACTTTTTGTAGAATCTGCAAAGGGATATTTTTCAGCTCTATGAGGCCTATGGTGAAAAAGGAAATATCTTCAATAAAAACTATAAAGAATGTTTCTGAGAAGCTGTTTTGCAAGGTGTGCACTCATCTCAGAGAGAAAAAAGTTTCTATTCTTTGATGAGTCTGGAAACTCTGTTCTTGCAAAATCTGCAAAGGGATATTTGCGAGTGGCTTGAGGCCTATGGTGAAAAAGGAAATATCTTCACATAAAAACTACACAGAAGGTTTCAGAGAAACTTCTTTGTGATATGTGCATTCATCTCACAAAGTTGAACCATTCTTTTGATTGAGAAGTTTGGAAACAGTCTTTTCAGAGAATTTGCAAAGGGATATTTTGAGCGCTTTGATAGGTATGGTGAAAAGGGAAATATCTTCACATAAAAAGTGGACAGAAGCTTTCAGAGAAACTTCTTTGCGATGTGTGCATTCATCTCACAGAGTTGAACTTTTCTTTTTATTTAGCAATTTGAAAAGAGTTCTTTTCTAGAATCTGCAGAGGGATATTTGTGAGCCCTTTATGGCCTAAGGTGAAATAGGAAATATCTTCACATAAAAACTAGACAGAGGCATTCTGAGAAACTTCTTCATGAAGTGTGCTTTCATCACACAGAGTTGAACCTCTCTTTTGATTGAGGAGTTTGGGAACAGCATTTTTGTAGAATATGGATATGGATATTTGGAGCGCTTTGAGGCCTATGGTGAAAAAAGAAATATCTTCACCTGAAAACTAGACAGAAGCATTCTAAGAAACTTCTTTGTGATGTATGCATTCATCTCACAGAGTTTAACCTTTCTTCTGATTGAGCAGCTTCAAAACAGTCCTTTTGTAGAATCTGCAAAGGGATATTTGTGAGCCCATTGAGGCCTATGGTGAAATAGGAAATATCTTCACATAAAAACTAGTCAGAAGATTTCTGAGAAACATCTTTGTGATATGTGCTTTCATCTCACAGAGTAGAACCTTTCTTTTGATTGAGCAGTTTGGAAACACACTTTTTGTAGAATCTGCAAATGGATATTTGGAGCAGTTTGAGTACTATGGTGAAAAAGGAAATATCTTCACATAAAAACTAGAAAGCAACATTCTATGAATCTACTTTGTGATGTGTGCTTTTATCTCACAGATTTGAATCTTTCTATTCATTGAGAAGTTTGGAAACCATCTTTTTGCAGAATCTGCAAATGGATATTTGGAGCGGTGTGAGGTCTTTGTGAGAAAGGAAACATCTTCACATAAAAACTAGGCAGAAGCATTCTGAGAAACTTCTTGGTGATGTGTGCATTTATCACACAGAGTTGAACCCTTCTTTTTATTGAACGGTTTGGAAAATGTCTTTTTGTAGTATCTGTAGAGGGATGTTTGCAAGAATTTGAGGCCTATGGTGAACAAGGAAATATCTTCACATAAAAACTAGACAGAAGGTTTCTGAGAAACTTCTTTGTGATGTGTGAATTCATCTCACAGTGTTGAACCTTTCTTTGGATTGAGCAGTTTGGAAACAATCCTTTTGTAGAATCTGCAAAGGTATATCTCTGAGCCCACTGAGGTCTATGGTGAAATATGATATATCTTCCCATTAAAACTAGACAGAAGGTTTCTAAGAAACTTCTTTGTGATGTGTGCTTCCATCTCACAGAGTTGAACTTTTCTTTTGATTGAGCATTTTGGAAACACTCTTTTTGTAGAATCTGCAAATGGATATTTGGAGCACTTTGAGGCGTGTGGTAAAAAAGGAAATATCATCACATAAAAATTCGACAGAAGAATTCTGAGAAACTTCTTTTTGAGGCTTGCATTCTTCTCACACAGCTGAACATTTCTTTGATTGAATATTTGGAAACAGTCTTTTTGTAAAATCTACAAAGGGATAATTGTGAACCCTTTGAGGCCTATGATGAACTAGGAAATATCTTCACATAAAAACTACACAGAAACTTTCTGAGAAACTTTTTTCTGATGTGTTCATTCATCTCACAGATTTGAACCTTTCTTTTGCTAGAGCAGTTTGGAAACATTCCTATTGTAGAATCGCCAAAGGGGTATTTCTCAGCCGATTGAGGCCTTTGGTGATATAGGAAATATCTTCACATAAAAGCTAGACAGAAGCTTTCTGAGAAACTTATTTTTAATGAGTGGTTTCATCTCAAAGAGGTAAGCATTTCTTTTGACTGAGCAGTTTGGAAACACGCTTTTTGCATAATCTGCAAATGGATAATTGGAGAGTTTTGAGGCCTATGGTGGAAAAGCAAATATCTTCACATAAAAACTAAACAGAAGCTTTCTGAGAAACTACTTTGTAATGCGTGCATTCATCTCACAGCGTTGAAACCTTGTTTTGATTGAGCAGTTTGTAAACAGACTTTTTGTAGAATCTGCAAATGGATATTTGGAGTGCTTTGAGGCCTATGGTGAAAAAGGAAATATCTTCACAAAAAAACTAGAAATAAACATTCTGAGAAACTTCTTTGTGATATGTGCTTTCATCTCACAGAGTTGAACCTTTCTTTTCATTGAGCAGTTTCGAAACAGACTTTTTATAGAATCTGGAAATGCATATTTGGAGAGCTTTGAGGCCTATGGTGAAAAAGGAAATATCTTCAGATAAACACTAAACAGAAGCTTTCTGAGAAACTTCTTTGTGATGCGTGCATTCATATCACAGAGCTGAAACTTTCTTTTGATTTAGCAGTTTGTAAACAGTCTTTTGGTAGAATCTGCAAATGGATACTTGGAGTGCTTTGAGGCCTATGGTGAAAAAGAAAATATCTTCACAAAAAAACTAGAAAGATACATTCTGAGAAACTTCTTTCTGATGTGAGCTTTCAGCTCACAGAGTTGAAACTCTCTTTTCATTGAGCAATTTGGAAACAGTCTTTATGTGGAATCTGCAAATGGATATTTGGAGCGCTTTGAAGCCTATGGTGAAAAAGGAAATATCTCACATAAACCCTAGACAGAAGTATTCTGAGAAACTTCTTTGTCTTGTGTCCATTCATCTCACAGAGTCGAACCTTTCTTTGGATTGAGCAGTTTGGAAACAGTCTTTTTGTAGAATCTGCGAAAAATATATTTGAGCCCTTTATGGCCCATGGTGAAACAGGAAATATCCTCACAGAAAAACTAGACAGAATCCTTCTGAGAAACGTCTTTGTGATGTGTGCTTTCAACACACGGAGTTGTAGCTTTCTTTTGATTGAGCAGTTTAGAAACAGTCTTTTTGCGGAATCAGCAAATGGATGTTTGGAGCGCTTTGAGGCCTATGGCGAAAAAGGAAATACCTTCACATAAAAAAGAGACAGAAGCATTGTAAGAAACATCTCTGTGATGTGTGCATTCATCTCATACAGTTGAATCCTTCTTTGATTGAGGATTTTGGAAACAGTCTTTCTGTGGAATCAGCAAATGGATATTTTGAGCACTTTGAGGCCCATGGTCAAAAAGGAAATACCTTCATATAAAAAATAGAAGGATTGTGAGAAACATCCATGTGATGTGTACATTCATCTTATAGAGTTGAACCTTTCTTTGATTGAGCAGTTTGGAAACAGTCCTTTTGTAGAATCTGCAAAGGGATATTTCTGAGCCCATTGAAGCCTAGGGTGAAAAAGAAATATCTTCACATAAAAACTAGATAGAAGCATTCTGATAAACTTTTTTGTGGTGTGTCCATTCATCTCACAGAGTTGAAATTTTCTTTGGATTGAGCAGTTTGGAAACAGTCTTTTTGTAGAATTTGCAAAAAATATTTGTGAGCCCTATATGGCCCATGGTCCTTGTCACAGGATTGAACCTTTCTTTTTGATAGAGCAGATTGGAAACACTCTTTTTGTAGAATCTACAAATGAGTATTTGGAGCGCTTTGAGGCCTATGGTGAAAAAAGAAATATCTTCACATAAAAACTAGACAGATGCATTCTGCAAAACTTCTATGTGATGTGTGCATTCATCTCACAGGGTTGAATCATTCTTTGGATTCAGCAGTTTTCTAAACAGTCCTTTTGTAGAATCTGCAAAGGGATATTTCTGAGCCCACTGAGTCCTATGGTGAAAAAGGAAATATCTTCAAATAAAAGCAAAACAGAAGCTTTCTGAGAACCTTCTTTGTGATGTGTGCATTCGTCTCTCAGCGTTGAAACTTTCTTTTGATTGAGCAGGTTAGAAACAGTCTTTTTGTAAGATCTGCAAAGGGATATTTCTGAGCCGTTTGTGGCTGACGGTGAAAAATAAATATCTTCACATAAAAACTAGACAGAAGCATTCTGAGAAATCTCTTTCTGATGTGTGCATTCATCTCACAGAGTTGAATCTTTCTTTTGTTTGAACAGTTTGGAAACAGTCTTTTTTCTGAATATGCAAATTGATATTTGTGAGCCCTTTACAGCCTAAGGTGAAATAGGAAATACCTTCACATAAAAACTAGACAGAATCTGAGAAAATGCTTTGTGATGTGTGCTTTAATTTCACAGAGGAGAAATTTTCTTTTGATTGAGCAGTTTGGAAACAGCCTTTTTGTAGAATCCGCAAATGGATATTTGCGGCACTTTTAGGCCTATGGAGAAAAAGGAAATATCTTCACCAAAACACTAAAAAGAAGCTTTCTGAGAAACTTATTTGTGATGCGTGGACTCATATCACAGATCTGATCCTTTTGATTGAGCAGATTGGAAACCATCCTTTTGTACAATCTGCAAAGGGATATTTTTGAGCCATTTGATGCCTATGGTGAAAAAGAATTATCTTCACATAAAAAGTAGACAGAATCATTCTGAGAAACTCCTGTGTGATGTGTGCATTCATCTCACAGAGTTGAACCTTTCTTTTCTTGGAGCAGTTTGGAAACAGTCTTTTTGTAGTATCTGCAGAGGGATATTTGTGAGCACTTTAAGGCCTATGGTGAAAAAGGAAATATCTTCACATTAAACTAGACAGAAGCATTCTGAGAAACTTATTTTTTAAGTGTGGATTCATCTCACAGAGATGAATCTTTCTTTTCATTGAGCAGTTTGGAAAGAGTATTTTTATACAAAGTGCAAAGGGATATTTCTGAGTGCTTTGAGGCCTATAGTGAAAAAGTAATATCTTCACATATAAACTAGACAGAAGCATTCTGAGAAACTTCTTTTTTTATGTGTGCATTCACCTCACAGAGTTGAAACTTTCTTTTCATTGAGCAGTTCGGAAACACTCTTTTTGTAGAATCTGCAAAGGGATATTTATGATTCCTTTGAGGCCTGTGGTGAAATAGGAAATATACTGACACAAAAACTAGACAGAAGCTTTCTGAGAAACTTCTTTGTGATGTGTGCTTTCACCTCACAGAGTTGAACCTTTCTTTTGATTGAGCAGTTTGGAAACAGTCTTTTTGTGGAATTTGCAAATGGATGTTTTGCGTGGTTTGAGGCCTATGGTGAAAAAGTAAATATCTTCACATTAAAACTAGACAGAAGCATTCTGAGAAACTTCTTTGTGACGTGTACATTCATCTCACGTTGTTGAGACTATCTTTTGATTGAGCAGATTGGAAACAGTCCTTTTGTTGTATCTGCAGAGGGATATTTGTGAGTGGTTTGAGGTCTGTGGTGAAAAAGGGAATACCTTCACATAAAAACTAGACAGAAGCATTGTGGGAAACTTCTCTGTGATGTGTGCATTCAACTCACCGAGGCAAAACTTTCTTTAGATTGAGCAGTTTGGAAACCGTCCTTTTTTAGAATCTGCAAAGGGATATTTCTGAGCCCATTGAGGCCTACGGTGGAAAAGAAATATCTTCACATAAAAACTGGACAGATGCATTCTGAGAAACTTCTTTGTGATGTGTCCATTCATCTCACAGAGTTGAACCTTTCTTTGGATTGAGCAGTTTGGACACAGTCTTTTTGTAGAATCTGTAAAAAATATTTGTGATCCCTTTACAGCCTATGTTGAAAAAGGAAATATCTTCACATAAAAACTAGCCAGGAGCTTTCTGAGAAACTACTTTGTGATGTGTGCTTTCTTCTCACAGAGTTGAACCTATCGTTTGAATGAGCAGTTTGGAAATGCTCTTTTTGTAGAGTCTGTAAATGCATATTTGGAGCATTTTGAGGCCTATGGTGAGAAAGGAAATATCTTCACATATAAACCAGACAGAAGCATTCTGAGAAACTTCTTTGTGATATGTGTATTCATCTCAAAGAGTTGAACATTTCTTTGGATGCAGCAGTTTGGAAACAGTCTTTTTGTAGTATCTGCAGAGGGATATTCATGAGCAGTTTAAGGCCTATGGTTGAAAAGGATATATCTTCACAGAAAACCTTGACAGATCCATTGTGAGAAGCTTCTTTGAGATGTGTGCATTCATCTCACAGAGTTGAACCTTTCTTTGGATTGAGCAGTTTTCTAAACAGACCTTTTGCAGAATCTACAAAGGGATACTTCTGAGCCCATTGAGGCCTATGGTGAAAAAGGATATATCTTCACATGAAATCTTAACAGAAGCTTTCTGAGAAACTTCTTTGGATGTGTGCATTCACCTCACAATGTTGAAACTTTCTTTTGATTGAGCAGTTTTGAAACAGTCTTTTTGAACAATCTGCAAAGGGATATTTCTGAGCCATTTGAGGCCCATCGAGAGAGAAATATCTTCATATAAAAACTAGACAAAAGTATTGTGAGAAACTTCTTTGTAATGTGTGCATTCATCACACATAGTTGAAATTTTCTTCTGATTGAGCAGTTTGGAGACAGTCTTTTTGTATAATATGCAAAAGGATATTTGTGAGCCCTTTCAGGCCTATGGTGAAATAGAGAATATCTTCACAAAAAAACTAGACAGAAGCTTTCTGAGAAACTTTTTTGTGATGCGTGCTTTCATCTAACAGAGTTGAACTTTTCTTTTGATTGAGCAGTTTGGAAACATTCTTTTTGTCAAATCTGAAGATGGATATTTGCAGTGTTTCAGGCCTATAGTGAACAGGAAATTTCTTCACATAAAAACTAGACAGAAGTATTCTGAGAAACTTCTTTGTGATGTGTGCATTCATGTCAAAGAGTTGAAACTTTCCTTGGATTGAGCAGTTTGGAAAGAGTCCTTTTGTAGAATCTGCAAAGGGATGTTTGTGAACACATAGGGGGCCTATGGTGAAATAGGAAATGTCTTCATATAAAAACTAGACAGAAGCTTTCTGTAAAACTTATTTGTGTTGTGTGCTTTCAACTCACAGAGTTGAACATCTCTTTTGACTGAGCAGTTTGGAAACACTCTTTTAGTGGAACTTGCAAATGGATATTTGGAGTGCTTTGAGGCCTATGGTGAAAAAGAAAATATCTGCTTATAAAAACTAGACAGAAACTTTCTGAGAAACTTCTTTGTGATGTGTACTTTCATCTCACAGATTTAGACTTTGCTTTTCATTGAGCAGTTTGGCAACAAGTCATTTTGTAGAATCTGAAAAGGGATATTTGTGAGTGGTTTGAGGCCTATGGTGAAAAAGTAAATATCTTCACCTAAAACCTAGACAGAAGCATTTTGAGAAAACTCTTTGTGATGTTTGCATTCATCTCACTGAGTTGAACCTTTCTGTTCATTGAGCAGTGTGGAAACATACTTTTTGTGCAATCTGTAAAGGAATATTGGTTTGCAGTTTGAGACCTATGGTGAAAAAGTAATATCTTCACATAAAAACTAGACAGAAGCATTCTGAGAAACTAATTTTTTATGTGTGCATTGATCTCACAGAGTTGAACCTTTCTTTTGATGAAGCAGTTCGGAAACAGTTTTTTGTAAAATCTGAATAGGGATATTTGTGATCCCTTTGAGGCCAAAGGTGAAATAGGAAATATCTTCACATAAAAACAAGATAGAAACTTTCTGAGAAACTTCTTTGTGACGTGGGCTTTCATCTCACAGATTTGAACCTTTATTTTGATTGAGCAGTTTGGAAAGAGTCTTTTTGTAGAATCTGCAAATGTATATTTGGAGCGTTTTAAGGCCTAGAGTGAAAAAGGAAATATCTTCACATAAAAACAACACAGTAGCTTTTTGAGAAATCTCTTTGTGACATTTCCATTCATCTCTAAGAGTTGACCATTTCTTTTCATTGAGCAGTTTGGAAACAGTCTTTTTGTACAAAATGCAAAGGGATATTTCTGAGCAGTTTGAGGTCAATGGTGAAAAATAAATATCTTCACATGAAAACTAGACAGAAGCATTTTGAGAAACTTCTTTGTGAAGTGTGCATTCTTCTCACAGAGTTGAACCTTTCTTTTGATTTGGCAATTTGGAGAGAGTCTCTTGGTAGTATAAGTGGAGTTATATTTGTGAGCGATTTAAGGCCTATGGTGCAAAAGGAAATTCCTTCACATAAAAAGTAGACAGAAGCTTTCTGAGAAA
Source organism: Homo sapiens (assembly GCF_000001405.40). Classification (NCBI taxonomy): domain Eukaryota; kingdom Metazoa; phylum Chordata; class Mammalia; order Primates; family Hominidae; genus Homo; species Homo sapiens. The sequence continues at coordinate 28,909,665 of NC_000020.11, forward strand.
CTTTGTGATGTGTGTTTTTGTCTCACAGATTTGAGCCTTTCTTTTGATTGAACAGTTTGGAAACATTCTTTTTGTAGAATCTGCAAATGGATATTTGGAGCAATGTGAGACCTATGGTGAAAAAGAAAATATCTTCACATAAAAACTAGACAGAAGAATTCTGAGAAACTTCTTTGTGATGAGTGCATTCATCTCATATAGTTGAAACATTCTATATGGACCAGTTTGGAAACAGTCTTTTTGTAGTATCTGCAGAGGGATATTTTTGAGTGGTTTAAAGACTATGGTGAAAAGGAAATATCTTCACATAATAACCAGACAGAAGCATTCCGAGAAACTTCTTTGTGATGTGTGCATTCATCTCACAATGTTGAACGTTTCTTTTGATTGAGCAGTTTGGAAACAGAACTTTTGTAGAATCTGCAAAGGGATATTTGTGAGCCCATTGATTCCTATGGCAAAATAGGAATTATCTTGAGATAAAAACTAGACAGAAGATTTCTGAGAAACTTCTTTGTGATGTGTGCTTTCATCTCACAGAGTTGAAAATTTCTTTTGATTGAGCAGTTTGGAAACAGTCTTTTTGTATAATCTGCAAATGGATATTTGGAGCACTTTGTGGCCTAAGGTGAAAATGGAAATATCTTCACATAAAAACTAGACAGAAGAAGTCTGAGAAAATTCTTTGTGATGTGTGCATTCACCTCAGAGAGGTGAACTTTTCTTTTGATGGAGCAGTTTGGAAACAGTCTTTTTATAGTATCTGCAGAAGGATATTTGTGAGCAGTTTAAGGCCTGTGGTGAAAAAGGAAATATCTTCACATAAAAACTAGACAGAAGCTTTCTGAGAAACTTCTTTGTGATGTGCGCATTCATCTCACAGTGTTGAAACTTTATTTTGTTTGAGCAGTTTAGAAACAGTCTTTTTCTGCAATCTGCAAAGGTATATTTCTGAGCCATTTGAGGTCTATGGTGAAAAAGAAATATCTTCACATTGAAACTAGACAGAAGCATTCTGAGGAACTTCTTTGTGATGTCTCCATTCATCTGACAGAGTTGAAAGTTTCTTTTAATTCAGCACTTTGGAAACCATATTTTTGTAGAATCTGCAAAGGGATATTTTTGAGACATTTGAAGCCTATAGTGAAATAGTAAATATCTTCACATAAAAACTAGACAGGAGAATTCTGAGAAATTTCTTTATGATGTGTGCATTCACCTCACAGAATTTAACCTTTCTTTTGATTGAGCAGTATGGAAATGGTCGTCTTTTAGAATCTGGAAAGGGATATTTCTTAGCCCTTTGAGGTCTATGGTGAAACTGGAAATATCTTCACATGAAAACTAGACCAAAGCTTTCTGAGAAACTTCTTTGAGATGTATGCTTTCATCTCACAGAGTTAAAACTTTCTTTTGATTGAGCAGTTTGGAAACACTCTTTTTGTGAAATCTGTAAATGGATATTAGGAGGACTTTGAGGCCAATGGTGACAAAGGAAATATCTTCATGTAAAAACTAAACAGAAGTTTTCTGAGAAACTACTTTTTGATGTATCCATTAATCTAACAGAGTTGAAACTTTCTTTTTATTGAGCAGTTTGGATACAGTATTTTTGTAGAATTTGCAGAAAATATTTGTGAGCCCTGTATTGCCTATGGTGAAATAGGAATTTTCTTCACATATAAACTAGACAGAAGCATTCTGAGGAACTTCTGTGTGATGTGTGCATTCATCTCACATAGTTGAAACTGTCTTTGGATTGAGAAGTTTGGAAACAGTTCTCTTGTAGAATCTGCAAAGGGATATTTCTGAGCCCATTGATTACTATGGTGCAATGTGAAATATCTTCACATAAAAACTAGACAGAAGCTTTCTAAGAATCTTCTTTGTGATGTGTGCTTTCATCTCACAGAATTGAAACTTCCTTTTGATTGAGGAGTTTGGAAACACTCTTTTTCTAAAATCTGCAAATGGATATTTGGAGAGCTTTTGAGGCCCATGGTGAAAAACGAAATATCTTCCCATAAAAACTAAACAGAAGTTTTCTGAGAAACTTCCTTGTGATGTGTGCATTCATCTCACAGAGTTGAACCTTTCTTTTGAGTGAGCAGGTTGGAAAGAGACTTATTGTACAATCTGCAAAGGGATAATTCTGATCCGTTTGAGGCCTATGGTGAAAGAGAAATATCTTCACATAAAAACTAGACAGAATCATTCTGAGAAATTTCTTTGTGATGTGTCCATTCATCTCACAGAGTTGAACCTTTCTTTTGATTGAGCAATTTGGAAACAGTTTTTTTTTAAAACCTTCAAAGGGATATTTGTGAGCCTTTTATGGCCTCAGGTGAAATAGGAAGTATCTTCACATACATACTAGAGAGAAGCTGTCTGAGTAACATTTTTGTGATGTGTGCTTTCATCTCAGAGAGGTAAAAATTTGTTTTGATTGATCAGTTTGGAAACAGTCTTTTTGTAGAATCTGCAAATGGATGTTTGGATTGCTTTGAGGCCTATGTTGAGAAAGGTAATATCTTCACATAAAAACAAGACAGAAGATTTCTGAGAAACTTCTCTGTTATGTGTGCATTCATCTCACTGGTTTGAACCTTTCTTTTGATTGAGCAGTTTGGAAACAGTCTTTTTGTACAATCTACAAAGGGATATTTCTGAACGGTTTGATGCCTATGGTGAAAAAGAAATATCTTCACATAAAAACTAGACAGAAGCATTATGATAAACTAATTTATTATGTGTGCATTCGTCTCACAGAGTTGAACCTTTCTTTTCACTTAGCAGTTTGAAAACTGTCTTTTTGTAGAGTCTGCAAAGGGATATTTGTGAGACTTTGAGGCCTATGGTGATATAGGAAATATCTTCACAAGAAAAGTAGACAGAAGAATTATGAGAAACTTCTTCATGATGTGTACTTTCTTCTCACAGATTTGAGTCTTTCTTTTAATTGAACAGTTTGGAAACTCTCTTTTTGTAGAGTTTGCAAAAGGATATTTGGATTGCTTTGAGGCCTATGGTGAAAAAGGAAATATTTTCACCTAAAAACTTAACAGAAGCTTTCTGAAAAACTTCTCTGTGATGTGAGTATTCATGTCACAGTGTTGAACCTTTGTTTTCATTGAGCAGTTTGGAAACCATCTTTTTGTACAATCTGCAAAGGGATATTGCTGAGCCATTTGAGGCCTATAGTGAAAAACAAATATCTTAACACAAAAACTGGACAGAGGCATTCTGAGAAACTTCTTATTCATGTGTGCATTCATCTCCCAGTGTTGAACCTTTCTTTTCATTGAGAAATTCAGAAACAGTCTTTTTGTAGAATTTGGAAAAGGATATATGTGAACCCACTGAGGCCCATGGTGAAATGGGAAATATCTTCACAGGAAAACTAGACAGAAGCATTCTGAGAAACTTCTTTGTGATGTTTGCATTCATCTCACAGAGTTGAAACTTTCTTTTGATTGAGCAGTTTGGAAAAACTCTTTTTGAAGTATCTGCAAAAAGATATTTGGAGCACTTTGTGGCTTGTGGTGAAAAACTAAATATCTTCACATAAAATCTAGTGAGAAACTTTCTGAAAACTTCTTTGTGATGTGTGCTTTCATCTCACAGAGTTGAAAATTTCTTTTGATTAAGCAGTTTGGAAACAGTATTTTGTAGAATGTGCAAATCGATAATTGGATTGCTTTGAGGCTTATCATTAGAAGGGAAATATCTTCACGTAAAAACTAGACAGAAGATTTCTGAGAAACTTCTTTGTGATGTGTGCTTTCATCTCACAGAGTTGAACTGTTCTTTTGATTGAGCAGTTAGGAAACAGTCTTTATCTACAATCTGCAAAAGGATATTTCTGAGGGGTTTGGGGCCTACGGTGAAAAAGAAATATCTTCACATAAAAACTAGACAGAAGCATTCTGAGAAACTTATTTTTTAGGTGTGAATTCATCTCACAGAGTTGAAACTTACTTTTCATTGAGCAGTTTTGTAACAGACTTTTTGTAGAATCTGAAAAAGGATATTTGTGAGTCCTTTGAGGCCTATGGTGTAACAGGAAATACCTTCACTTAAAAACTAGACAGAAGCATTCTGAGTAACTTCTTTGTGATTTGTGCTTTCATCTCACAGAGTTGAACCTTTCTTTTGATTGAGCAGTTTGGAAAAACTCTTTTTGTGCAATCTGCAAAAGATATTTGGTGCACTTTGTGGACTATGGTGAAAAAGGAAATATCTTCACATAAAAACTAGAAAGAAACTTTCTGAGAAACTTCTTTGTGATGTGCACTTTCTTTTTATTTTATTTTATTTAGGGTACATGTGCACAATGTGCAAGTTAGTTACATATGTATACATGTGCCACGCTGGTGTCCTGCACCCATTAACTCATAATTTAGCATTAGGTATATCCCCTAATGCTATCCCTCCCCACTCCCCCCACCCCACAACAGTCCCCAGAGTGTGATGTTCCCCTTCCTGTGTCCATGTGTTCTCATTGTTCAAATCTCACCTATGAGTGAGAACATGTGGTGTTTGGTTTTTTGTCCCTGTGATAGTTGACTGAGAATGATGATTTCCAATTTCATCCATGTCCTACAAAGGACATGAACTCATCATTTTTTATGGCTCCATAGTATTCCATAGTGTATATGTGCCACATTCTCTTAATCCAGTCTATCATTGTTGGACATTTGGGTTGGTTCCAAGTCTTTGCTATTGTGAATAGTGCCGCAATAAACATACATGTGCATGTGTCCTTATAGCAGCATGAAACCAACGAGAACAAACACACAACATACCAGAATCTCTGGGACACATTCAAAGCAGTGTTTAGAGGGAAATTTATAGCACTAAATGCCCACAAGAGAAAGCAAGAAAGATCCAAAACTTACACCCTAACATCACAATTAAAAGAACTAGAAAAGCAAGAGCAAACACATTCAAAAGCTAGCAGAAGGCAAGAAATAACTGAAATCAGAGCAGAACTGAAAGAAATAAAGACACAAAAATCCCTTCCAAAAATTAATGAATCCAGGAGCTGGTTTTTTGAAAGGATCAACAAAATTGATAGACCACTAGCAAGACTAATAAAGAAGAAAAAAGAGAAGAATCAAATAGATGCAATAAAAAATGATAAGGGGGATATGACCACCGATCCCACAGAAATTCATACTACCATCAGAGAATACTACAAACACCTCTATGCAAATAAACTAGAAAATCTAGAAGAAACGGATAAATTCTTTGACATATACACCCTCTCAAGACTAAACCAGGAAGAAGTTGAATTTCTGAATAGACCAATAATAGGCTCTGAAATTGTGGCAATAATCAATAGCTTACCAACCAAAAAGAGTCCAGGATCAGATGGATTCACAGCCGAATTCTACCAGAGGTAAAAGGAGGAACTGATACCATTCCTTCTGAAACTATTCCAATCAATAGAAAAAGAGGGAATCCTCCTTAACTCATTTTATGAAGCCAGCACCATCCTGATACCTAAGCCGGGCAGAGACACAACCAAAATAGAGAATTTTAGACCAATATCCTTGATGAACATTGATGCTAAAATCCTCAATAAAATACTGGCTAACCGAATCCAGCAGCACATCAAAAAGCTTATCCACCATGAGCAAGTGGGCTTCATCCCTGGGATGCAAGGCTGGTTCAATATACGCAAATCAATAAATGTAATCCAGCATATAAACAGAACCAAAGACAAAAACCACATGATTATCTCAATAGATGCAGAAAAGGCCTTTACAAAATTCAACAACCCTTCATGCTAAAAACTCTCAATAAATTAGGTATTGATGGGATGTATCTCAAAATAATAACAGCTATCTGTGAAACTTCTTTGTGATGTGTGCATTCATCTCACAGAGTTGAACCTTTCTTTTGATTGGGCAGTTTGGAAACAGTCTTTTTGTAGAATCTGCAAAGTGATATGTTTCAGTGGTTTGAATCCAATGGTGAAAAAGGAAATATCGAAAAATAAAATGTAGACAGCAGCTTTCTGAAGAACTTCTTTGTGATGTGTGCATTCATCTCACAGGGTTGAAACTTCCTTTGATTGATCTGTTTGGAAACAGACTTTTCATAGAACCTGCAAAGTGATATTTTTGAACGCTTTGAGGCTTATGGTGAAAAAGGAAATATCTTCACATAAAAACTAAACTCATGTTTTCTGGGAAACTTATTTGTGATGGGGGTATGCATCTCAAAGACTTGAATCTTTCTTTTGATTGAGCAGTTTGGAAACAGTCTTTTTGGAGAATCTGCAAAGGGATGTTTTTGAGTGGTTTGAGGCATGTGATGAAAAAGGAAATATCTTCATATAAAAACTAGACAGAAGCATTCTGAGAAACCACTTTGCGATGCATGCATTCATCTCACAGAGTTGAATTTTCTTTCATTGAGCAGATTGGAAACAGTCTTTTTGTAGAATATGAAAAGTGATATTTGTGAGCTTTCTGAGGCCTATTGTGAAAAAGGAAATATTCACAAGTAAAATCTAGACAGAAGCCTTCTGAGAAACTACTTTGTGATGTGTGCATTCATCACACAGAGTTGAAGCTTTCTTTTCCTTGACCAGTTTGGATAGAGTCTTTTTGTAGAATCTGCTTTGCGATATTTGTGAGCCCTTTGAAGCCTATGGTGAAAAAAGTAATATCTTCACACAAAAACGAGACAGAAGCTTTCTGAGAAACTTCGTTGTGATGTGTGCATTCATCCCAAAAGTTGAACCTGTCTTTGGATTGAGCAGTTTGGAAACAGTCCTTTGTAGAATGTACAAAGAGATATTTGGGATCCCTTTTTGGTCTATGGTGAAAAAGGAAATGTCTTCAGATAAAAACTAGACAGAAGCATTCTGAGAAACTTATTTTTGATGTGTGCATTCTTCTCACAGAGTTAAACCTTTCTTTAGATAGAGCAGGTTGGAAAATGTCTTTTTGTAGAATCTGCAAAGTGATAATTTGAATGCTTTGAGACTTATGGTGAAAAAGGAAATATCTTCACATAAAAACTGGATGGAAGCTTTCTGAGAAACTTCTTTGTGATGTGTGCATTCATCTCAAAGAGTTGAAGCTTTGTTTCAGTTGAGCAGTTTGGTAACAGTCTTTTTGTAAAATCTGTAAAGGGACATTAGTGAGCACTTTGAGGCCTATATTGAAAAAGGAAACATCTTCAAATAAAAACTAGACAGAAGCTTTCTTAGAAACTTCTTTGTGATGTGTGCATTCACCTCACAGAGTTGAAGCTTTCTTTTGATTGAGTAGTTTGGAAACAGTCTTTTTGTAGAATCTTCAAAGAGTTATTCATGAGCAGTTTGAGGCCTATGGTGAAAAAGGGAGTATCAACAAATAAAAACTAGACAGAAACTTCCTGAGAAACTTCTCTGTGATGTGTGTATTCATCTGGCAGAGTGGAAGCTTTCTTTGAGCAGTTTGGAGACAGTATTTTTGTAGAATCTGCAAAGGGATATATGTAGGCGGTTTGAGGTCTATGGTGAAAACGGAAATATCTTCACATAAAAACTAACTGCTCAATGGGAAGAAATTTTTACTTCTTTGTGATAAATGCACATGTCACAAAGGAGTTTCTCAGAAAACTTCTTTCTACTTTTAATGTGAAGATATTTCCTTTTTCTCCATACGCCTCAATGCGCTCGCAGATAGCCCTTTGCAGATTCTACAAAAAGACTGTTTCCAAACTGCTCAATAAACAGAATGATTCAACCCTGTGAGACGAATGTGCACATCACAAAGAAGTTTCTCAGAAAACTTCCTTCTCAGTTTTATGTGAAGATATTTCTTTTTTGAACATAGACCTCAATGCACTTCCAAATATACCTTTGCAGAATCTACAAAAAGACTGTTTCCAAACTGCTCAATCAAAAGAAAGTTTCAACTCTGTTAGATGAATGCACACATCAGAAAGTAGTTTCTCAACAAGCCTCTCACTAGTTTTTATGTGAAGATAGTTCCTTTTTCAACGTGGGTCTCAAAGCACTCAAAAATATCCCTTTGCAGACTCTAGAATAACAGAGTTTACAAACTGCTCAATGAAAGGAATGTTTACCTCTGTGAGATGAGTACACATATCTTAAAGCAGTTTCTCAGAATGCTTCTTTCTAGTTTTTATGTGAAGATATTTCCTTTTCCACCGTAGGCCTCAACTTGCTTCTAAATATCCCTTTGCAGATTGTACAAAAAGACTGTTTCCAGACTGCTCAATCAAAACAAATGTTAAACTCTATGAGATAAATGCACTCATCACAAAAAGTTTCTCAGAAAACTTTTGTCTAGTTTTTATGTGAAGATATTTCCTTATTCACCATAGGCCTCAAAGCGCTACAAATATCCCTCTGCAGATTCTACAAAAAGACTGTTTGCAAACTGCTCAATCCAAAGAATGTTTCAACTCTGTGTGGTGAATGCACACATCCAAAGAATTTTCTCAGAAACTTTCTTTATGGTTTTTCTGTGAAGATATTTCCTTTTTCAACATAGGCCTCAAAGCCTTCACAAATAACCCTTTGCAGATTCTACAAAAAGACTGTTTTCAAACCGCTCAATAAAAAGAATTATTGAACACTGTCAGATGAATGCACACAGCTCAAAGAAGTTTCTCAGAATCCTTCAGTCTAGTTTTTATGTGAATATATTTCCTTTTTCACGATAGACCTCAAAGTGCTCCAAATATCCGTTTGCAGAGTCTACAAAAAGACTGTTTCCAAATGGCTCAATCAAAACAAAGGTTCAACTCTGTGTGATGAATGCACACATCAAGAAGCAGTTTCTCAGAATGCTTCTGTCTAGTTTTTCACCATAGGCCTGGAAGTGCTCACAAATATCCCTTTACAGATTCTACAAATGTACTTCTTCCAAATTGCTCAGTCAAAAGAAAGGTTCAACTCTGTGAGATGTATGCACACCACAAAGAGGTTTCTCAGAAAGCTTCTTTCTAGTTTTTATGTGAAGATATTTCCTTTTTCACCATTGGCCTCAAAGCATTCACAAATATCCCTTTGCAGATTTTACAAAAAGACTCTTTACACGTTGCTCAATCAAAAGAATGTTTCAACTTTGTGAGGTGAATGCTCACATCACCAGGATGTTTCTCAGAAAGCTTTTGTGTAGTTTTTATGTGAAGATATGTCTTTTTTCACCATACACCTCAAAGGGCTCACAAATATCCCTTTGCAGATCTTACAAGAAAAGAGTTTCCAAGCTTCTCAATGAAAAGAAACAGACACATCTGGGAGATGACTGCACATATCACAAAGCGGTTTCTGAGAAACATTCTGTCTAGTTTTTCTGTGAAGGTATCTCCTTTTCCACCACAGGATGCAAAGCACTCAAAATTGTCCTTTTGCAGATTCTACAAAAAGATTGTTTCCACACTGCTCATCAAAAGAAAGGTTCAACTCTGTGAGATGATTGCACACGTCAAAAAGTAGTTTCTCAGAAAGCTTCTATTAAGTTTTCATGTGAATGTTTACTTTTTCCCCATGAGCCTCAAGGTGCTCACAAGTATCCACTTGAAGAATATTTAAAAATACTGTTTCCAAACTGCTCAATCAAAAGAAAGGTTGAACTGAGTAAGATGAATGCACATATCACAAAGAAGTTTCTCAGAAACCTTCTTTATAGTTTTTATGTGAAGATATTTCCTTTTTCAACACAGGCCTCAAATTGCTCAGCAATATCCCTTTGTAGACTCTGCAAAAAGACTGCTTCCCAACTGCTTAATCAAATAAATGGTTGAACTCTGTGAGATGGATGTACACATCTCAAAGATGTTTCTCAGAAATCTTCTGTCCATTTTTTATGTGAAGATATTTCCTTTTTCACCATAGCACTCCAAGTCGTGACAAATATCCCTTGCAGCTTCTACAAAAAGACTGTTTCCAGACTGCTCAATCAAAAGAATGGTTCAACTCTGTGAGATGATTGCACACATCACAAAGAAGCCACTAACAAGGCTTCTGTCTAGTTTGTATGTGAAGATATTTCCTTTTTCATCATAGGCCTCAAAGCACTCACAAATATCCCTTTGCAGATTCTACAAGAACAGAGTTTCCAGACTGATCATAGAAAATAAACGTTTACCTCTCTGAGATCAATGCACACACCACAAAGCTGTTTCTAAGAAATCTTCCTTATGCCTTTTATATAAATATATTTCCTTTTTCACCATTGGCCTCAAAGCTCTCATAAATGTCCCTTTGCAGATTCCACAAACAGATGGTTTCCATATTGATCAATCAAAAGTAAGTTTCAACTTTGTGAGATGAATGCCCACATCACAAAGAGGTTTCTCAGAAAACCTCTCTCTAATTTTTATGTGAAGATATTTCCTTTTTCACCATAGGCCTCAAAGCACTCACAAATATCCCTTTGCAGAATCTACAAGTACAGTTTCCAGACAGATCAGAGAAAAGAAACGTTTACCTCTGTGAGATGAATGCATACATCACAAAGCTGTTTCTGAGAAACCTTGCTTATACTTTTTATGTGAATACATTTCCTTTTTCACCATAGACCTCAAAGCACTCACAAATATCCCTTTGCAGACTCTACAAAAAGAGTGTTTACAAACTGTTCAATCAAAAGAATGGTTGAACTCTACGAGATGAATGCACACATCACAAAGAAGTTTCTCGGAAAGCTTCTGTCTAGTTTTTATGTGAAGATATTTCTTATTTCATCATAGGCCTCACACCACTCAAAAATATGACTTTACAGATTCTACAAAAATACTGTTTCCAAATTGCTCAATCCAAAGAAAGTTTCAAATCTGTGAGATGAATGCACACATCACAAGGAGGTTTCTCAGAAAGCTTCTCTCTAGTGAAAATATTTCATTTTCACTATACGCTTCAAAGCATCACAAATATCCCTTTGCAGATTCTACCAAAATACTGTTTACAAACTGCCCAATCAAAAGAATGTTTCAACTCTGTGAGTCGAATTCTCACATCTCCAAGATGTTTCACAGAAAGCTTCTGTCTAGTTTTTATGTGAAGATAATTCCTTTTTCACCATAGGCCTCAAAGTGCTGACAAATATCCCTTTGCAGATTTTACAGGAACAGAATTTCCAATCTGTTCAATGAAAAGAAATGGTTACCTCTGTGAGATGAAAGCACACACCACAACCCTTTGGAAATTCTACCAAATACTGCTTCCAAAATGCTCATCAAAAGAAAGGTTCACCTCTGTGGGATGAATGCACATATCAAAAATATGATTCTCAGAAAGCTTCTATCTCGTTTTTATGTGAAAGTGTTTCCTTTTTCACCATGGGCCTCAAAGTGCTCAAAAATATCCCTTTGCAGATCCTAAAAAAAGACTGTTTCCAAACCGCTGAGTCAAAGGAGTGGTTCAACTCTGTGAGATGAATGCACACATCATAAAGAAGTTTCTCACAAACTTTCTTTATAGTTTTTATGTGAACATATTTCCTTTTAACCATAGACCTCAAAGTGCTCACAAATATCCCTTTGCAGATTCTACAAAAAGACGGTTTCCCAACTGCTCAATCAAAAGAATTGTTGAACTCTGTGAGATGAATACATACATCACAAAGCAGTTTCTCAGAAAACTTTAGTCTAGTTTTTACTTGAAGATACTTTCTCTTTCACCATAGGCCTCAAAGTGCTCAGAAATTTCCCCTTACAGATTCCACAAAAAGACGTTTTCAAACTGCTTAATCAAAAGAAAGTTTCAATTCTGTGAGATGAATGCACACATCACCAAGAAGTTTCTCAGTAGGCGATACTTTCTCTTTCACTATAGTCCTCAAAGTGATCAGAAATATCCCTTTACAGATTCCACAAAAGACGTTTCTAAACTGCTTAATCAAAAGAAAGTTACAATTCTGTGAGATGAATGCACACATCACCAAGAAGTTTCTCAGTAGGCCTCTGTCTAGTTTTTATGTGAAGACAATATCTTTTTCACCATAGGGTTCTAGGCACTCAAAAATGTCCCTTAGCAGATCCTACAAGAACAGAGTTTCCCAACTGATCAAAGAAAAGAATTGTTTTCCTCTGCGAGATGAATGCAGACATCAAAAAACAGTTTCTCAGAAACCTTCTTTATATTTTTCTTTGAAGATACTTCTTTTCCTGCATAGGCCTCAAAGTGCTCACAACTATCCGTTTGCAGACTCTTCAAAAAGACTGTTTCCAAATGGCTGAATTAAAAGAGACGTTCAAATCTGTGAGATGAATGCACATATCACAAAGAAGTATCTTAGAAACGTTCTTTATACTTTGAATGTGAAGATATTTCCTTTGTCACAATAGGCCTCAAAGTGCTCAAAAATACCTCCTTTGAGATTGTACAAGAACAGAGTTTCCAGACTGATCTCAGAAAAGAAACACTTACCTATGTGAGATGAATGTACACATCACAATGTTGTTTTTAGAAAACCTGCTTTATAGTTCTTATGTGAAAATATGACGTTTTCCACCATAGGATTCACAGCACTCCAAATAACCAATGGCAGTCTCTACAAAAAGAGTGTTTCCAAACTGCTCAACAAAAAGAAAGTCCAACTCTGTGAGATGAATGCACACAACACAAAGAAGTTTCTCAGAATGCTTCTGTCTAGTTTTCATGTGAAGATATTTCCTTTTCCACCATAGGCGTCAAAGCGCTCTAAATATCCACTTGCAGATTTTACAAAAAGAGTGTTTCAAAACTGCTCAACCAAAAGAAAGGTTCCACTCTGCGAGATGAAAGCACACATCACAAAGAAGTTTCTCAAAATGATTCCCTATAGTTTTTATGTGAAGATATTTCCTTTTCCACAAGAGGCTGCAAAGCGATCCAAATATGCAATTGCAGATTCTACAAAAAGTGTGTTTCAGAACTGCTTAATCAAAATAAAGGTTCAACTCTGTGAGTTGAATACACACATCACAAAGAAGTTTCTCAGAATGCTTCTCGCTAGTTTTTATGGGAAGATTTATTCTTTTCCACCGTATGCCTCAAAGTGATCCAAATATCCACTTGCAGATTCTACAAAAAGAGTCTTTCAAAACTGCTTAATTAAAAGAATGGTTCAACTCTGTGAGATGAATGCACACATCACAAAGAAGTTTCTCCGAATGCTTCTGTCTAGTTTTTATGTGCAGATATTTCCTTTTCCACTATAGGCCTCAAAGCTGTCCAAATACAAATTTGAAGACGGTACGAAAAGAATGTATCCTAACTGCTCAATATAAAGACATGTTCAACTCGGTGAGTTGAATGCACACATCACAAAAAAGTTTCTCAGTATGCTTCTGTCTAGTTTTTATTTGAAGATATTTCCTTTTCCACCATAGGCCTCAAAGCGCTCTAAATATCCAACTGCTGATTCTACAAAAAGAGTGTTTCAAAACTGCTCAATCAAAAGAAATGTTCACCTCTGTGAGTTAAATGTGCACATCACAAAGAAGTATCTTAGAATGATTCTGTCTAGTTCTTATGTGAAGATATTTCCTTTTCTATCATGGCCTCAAAGTGCTCCACATATCCACTTGCAGATTCTGCAAAAAGAGTGTTTCAAAACTGCTCAATCAAAAGAAAGGTTCAACTCTGTGAGATGAATGCACACATCACGAAGAAGTTTCTCAGAATGCTTCTGTCTAGTTTTTATGTGAAGATATTTCCTTTTCCACCAGAGGCCACACAGCACTCCAAATATCCACTTGGAGATTCTACAAAAAGAGTGTTTCAGAACTGCTCAATCAAAGAAAATGTTCAACCCTGTGAAATGAAGGCACACATCACAAGGAAATTCCTGAGAATGCTTCTGTCTAGTTTATGTGAAGATATTACCTTTACCAACAGATGTCACAAAGGGCTTAAAAAATCCACTTGCAGATTCTAAAAAAAGATTGTTTCAAAACTGCTCAATCAAAAGAAAGGTTCAACTCTGTGAGTTGAACGCACACATCACAAAGAACTTTGTCAGAATACTTCTCTGTAGTTTTTATGTGAAGATATTTGCTTTTCCACCATAAGCATCAAAGCGCTCCAAATATCCACTTGCACACTCTATAAAAAGAGTGTTTCAAAACTGCTCAATCAAAAGAAAGGTGCAGCTCAGTGAGATGAATGCACACATCACAAAGAATTTTCTCAGTATGCTTCTGTCTAGTTTTTATGTGAAGACATTTCCTTTTCCACAATAGCCCTCAAAGCACTCCAAATATCCACTTGCAGATTCTACACAAAGAGTGTTTCAAAACGGTTCAGTCAAAAGAATGGATCAAGACAGTGATATGAATGCACACACCACAAAGAAGTTTCTCAGAATGCTTTTGTCTAGTTTTAGGTGAAGATATTTCCTTTTACACCATAGACCTCAAACTGCTCCAAGTATCCCTTTGCAGATACTACAAAAACAGTGTTTCAAACTGCCCAATCAAAAGAAAGGTTGAACTCTGTGAGATGAATGCACACATGAAGAAGAAGTTTCTCAGAATGCTTCTGACAAATATTTATGTGAAGATATTTCCTTTTCCACTATAGACTGCAAAGTGCTCCAAATATCCACTTGCAGATTCTACAAAAAGAGTGTTTCAAAAGTGCTCAATAAAAAGAAAGCTTTAACTCTGTGAGATGAATGCACACATCACAAAGAAATTTCTCAGAATGCTTCTGTCTAGTTTTTATGCGAAGATATTGCCTTTTCCACTTAAGGCCACATAGCGCTCCAAATATCCAATTGCAGATTCTACAAAAGGAGTCTTTCAAAACTGTTCTATCAAAAGAAGGGTTCCATTCTGTGAGTTGAATGCACACATCACAAAGAAGTTTCTCAGAATGCTTCTGTCTACTATTTATGTGAAGATATTTCCTTTTCCACTACAGACCTCAAAGTGCTCCAAATATCCATTGGCAGATTTTACAAAAAGAATGTTTCAAAAGTGCTCAATCAAAAGAAAGGTTGAACACTGTGAGTTGAATGCACACATCACAAAGAAGTTTCTCAGAATGCTTCTCTGTAGGTTTTATGTGAAGATATTTCCTTTTTCACCATACGCCTCAAAGAGCTCCAAATATCCATTTGCGGATTCTTCAAAAAGAGTGTTTCCAAACTGCTCAATCAAAGGAAAGTTACAACTCTGTGAGATGAAAGAACACATCATGAAGAAGTTTCTCAGAAAGCTTCTGTCTTGTTTTTATGTGAAGATATTTTCTGTTTCACCATAGTCCAGAAAGGGCTCAAAAATAGCCCTTTGCAGATTCTACAAAAAGACTGTTTCCAAACTGCTGAACCAAAAGAAAGGTTCAACTCTGTGAGATGAAAGCACACATCTCAAAGAAATTTCTCAGAAAGTTTCTGTCTGGTTTTTATGAGAAGATGTTTCCTATTTCATCACAGGCCTCAATGGGCTGAGAAATATCCCTTTGCAGATTCTACAAAAGGACTTTTTCCATACTGCTCAATCCAAAGAAAGTTTCACCTCTTTGAGTTGAATGCACACATCACAAAGAAGTTTCTCAGAATGCTTCTGCCTAGTTTTTATGTGAAGATATTTCCTTTTTCACCATAGGCCTTAAACTTCTCTCAGATATCCCTCTGCAGATACTCCAAAAGGCTGTCTATAAACTGCTCAGTCAAAACTAAGTTTCAACTCTGTGAGATGAAAGGATACATCTCAAAGAAGTTTCTCAGAATACTTCTGTCTAGTTTTTATGTGAAGATATTTCTTTTTCGATATAGGCCTCCAACTTCTCAGAAATATCCCTTTCCAGATTGTACAAAAAGACTGTTTCCAAACTGCTCAATGAAAAGAAACTTTCAACTCTGTGAGATGTATGCATGCATCAAAAAGAAGCTTCTCAGAAAGCTTCTGTTTATTTTTCATGTGAAGATATTTCCTTTTTCACCATAGGCCTCAAAGCGCTCCAAATATCCATTTGCAGATTCTGCAAAAAGACTGTTTCCAAACTGTTCAATCAAAAGAAAGTTTCAAATTTGTGACTTGAAAGCACACATCACTAAGAAGTTTATCAGAAAGCTTCTGTCTAGTTTTTATGTGAAGATGTGTCCTTTTTCACCATAGGTATCAATGGGAACAGAAATATCCCTTTGCAGATCCTACAAAAAGACTGTTTCCAAACTGCTCAGCCAAAAGAATGGTTCAACTCTGTGAGATGAAAGCACATATCACAAAGAAGTTTCTCAGAAATCCTCTGTCTAGTTTTTATGTGAAGATATTTCGTTTTTCACCATAGGCCTTAAACTGCTTAAACTCTCACATATCCCTCTGCAGATACTGCAAAAAGACTGTTTCCAAACTGCTCCATCAAAGGAAAGGTTCAATTCTGTGAGATGAATGGATACATCACAAAGAAGTTTCTATGAATACTTCTGTCTGGTTTTATCTGAAGATATTTCTTTTTCACCACAGTCCTCAAACTTCGCAGAAATATCCCTTTGCAGATTGTACAAAAAGACTGTTTCCAAATTGCTCAATGAAAAGCAAGGTTCAACTCTGTGAGATGTATGCACTCATCAAAAAGAAGTTTCTCAGAAAGCTTCTGTTTAGTTTTAATGTGAAGATATTTCCTTTTTCACCATAGGCTTCAAAGCGCTCCAAGTATCCATTAGCAGATTGTACAAAAAGACTGTTTCCAAACTGCTCAATCAAAAGAAAGGTTCAAATCTGTGAGATGAAAGCACACATCACTAAGAAGTTTTTCAGAAAGCTTCTGTCTAGTTTTTATGTGAAGATATTTCCTTTTTCAACAAAGGCCTTAATGGGCTCAGAAATATCCCTTTGCAGATCCTACAAAAGGACTGTTTCCAAACTGCTCAATCAAAACAAAGTTTCAACTCTGTCAGATGAATGGACACATCACAGAGAAGTTTCTCAGAATGCTTCTGACTAGGTTTTATGTGAAGATATTTCCTTTCTCACCACAGTCCCCAAAATGCTCACAAATATCTCTCTGCAGGTACTATAAAAGACTGTTTCCAAACTGCTCAATCAAAAAAAAATTTCAACTTTTTGAGCTGAATGTACACATCATAAAGACGGTTCTCAGAAAGCTTCTTTCTAGTTTTTATGTGGAGATATTTCCTTTTACACCATAGTCCTTAAAACACTCACAAATATCACTCCGCATATACTACAAAAAGACTGTTTCCAAACTGCTCAATCAAAAGAAAAGTCAACTCTGTGAGATGAAAGCACACATAAAAAAGAACTTTCTACGAAAGCTTCTGTCTAGTTTTTATGTGAAGATATTACTTCTTAAGCAGAGGCCTCAAACGACTAACAAATATCCCTTTGCAGATTGTAGATAAAGACTGTTTCCAAACTGCTCAATCAAAAGAAAGGTTGAACTCTGTGAGATGAATGCATACATCACAAAGAAGTTTCATAGAAAGCTTCTGTTTAATTTTTATATGAAGATATTTCTGTTTTCACCATATATCTCAAAGAGCTCAAATAACCATTTGCAGGTTCTGCAAAAAGAGTGTTTCAATACTTCTCAATCAAAAGAAAGGTTCAACTCTGTGAGATGAAAGCACACATCACAAAGAAGTTTCTCAGAAAGTTTCTGTCTAGTTTTTATGTGAAGATATTTCCTATTTCCCCAGAGGCCTGAATGGGCTCACAAATATCCCTTTGTAGATTTTACAAAACGACTCTTTCCAAACTGCTCAATCAAAAGAAATTTTCATCCCTGTGAGATGAATGAACATATCAGGAAGAAGTTTTGCAGAATGCTTCTGTCTAATTTTTATGTGAAAATATTTTGTTTTCCACTATAGGAATCAAAGTGCTCCAAATAGCCACTTGCAGATTGTAAAAAAAGACTCTTTCAAAACTGCTCAATCAAAAGAAAGGTTGAAGCCTGTGAGATGAATGCACACATCACAAAGAAGTTTCCCAGAATGCTTCTGTCTGATTTTTATGTGAAGATATTTCCTTTTTCACCATAGGACTCAATACACTCCAAATATCAATTTGCAGATACTACAAATGACTGTTTACAAACTACCCAATCAAAAGAAAGTTCAACTCTGTGTGATGAATGCACATATCACAAGAAAGTTTCTCAGAAATTTCGGTCTTGTTTTTATGTGAAGATATTACCTATTTCCCCAAAGGCCTCAATGGGCCCACAAATATTCCCTTTCAGATTCTACAAAATGAATGTACTGAAGCTGCACATCAAAAGAAAGGTTCACCAGTGTGAGATGAAAGCACACATCACCAGGAAGTTTCTCAGAATTCTTCATTCTAGATTTTATGTGAAGATATTTCTTTTTCCACTACAGACCTCAAAGCGCTCCAAATATCCATTTGCAGATACTATAAAGAGAGAGTTTCAAAACTGCTCAATCAAAAGAAAGGTTCAACTCTGTGAGATGAATGCACACAACACAAAGAAGTTTCCCAGAAAGCTTCAGTGTAGTTTTAACATGAGGATATTTCGTTTTCCAACATAGGCCTCAAAGCACTCAAATTACCATTTGCAGATACTACAAGAAGACTGTTTCCAAACTGCTCTATAAAAAGAAATGTTTAACTCTGTGAGATAAATGCACACATCACAAAGAAGTTTCTCAAAATGCTTCTGCCTAGTTTTTATGGGAAGATATTTCCTTTTTTATCATAGGTCTCAAATCGCTGCTAATATCCATTTGCAGATACTACAAAAGACTGCTGCCAAACTGCTCAGTCAAA
Source organism: Homo sapiens (assembly GCF_000001405.40). Lineage (NCBI taxonomy): Eukaryota > Metazoa > Chordata > Mammalia > Primates > Hominidae > Homo > Homo sapiens. The sequence goes on from NC_000020.11 coordinate 28,928,382, forward strand.
AGAAAGATTCAACTCTGTGAAATGAATGCACACATCACAAAGAAGTTTCTCACAATGCTTCTGTCTCATTTTATTTGAAGATATTTCCTTTTCCACCATAGACCACAAATCGCTCCAAATATCCACTTACAGATTCTACAAAAAGAGTGTTTTCAAACTGCTCAATCAAAAGAAAGGCTCATCTCTGTGAGTTGAAAACACACAGCACAAACAAGTTTCTCAGAAAGTTTCTGTCTAGTTTTTATGTGAAGATATTTCCTATCATCCCACAGGCCTCAATGGGCTCACAAATATCCCTCTGTAGATTCTACAAAACGATGTTTTCCAAATTGCTCAATGAACAGAAAGGCTCAACTCGGTGTAATGAATGCACACATCACAATGAAGTTTCTTAGAATGCTTCTGTCTAGTTTTTATATGAAGATATTTCCTTTTCCACCATAGGCCTCAACGCGCTCCAAGTATCCCCTTGCAGATTCTGCAAAAAGTATGTTTCAAAACTGTTCAATCCGGTGGCTCACGCCTGTAATCCCAGCACTTTGGGAGGCCGAGGCGGGCGGATCACGAGGTCAGGAGATCGAGACCATCCTGGCTAAAACGGTGAAACCCCGTCTCTACTAAAAATACAAAAAATTAGCCAGGCGTAGTGGCGGGCGCCTGTAGTCCCAGCTACTTGGGAGGCTGAGGCAGGAGAATGGCGTGAACCCGGGAGGCGGAGCTTGCAGTGAGCCGAGATCCCGCCACTGCACTCCAGCCTGGGCGACAGAGCGAGACTCTGTCTCAAAAAAAAACAAAAAAAAAAAAACTGTTCAATCAAAAGAAAGGTACAACAACATGAGATGAATGCACACATAACAAAGTAGTTTCTAGGAATGCTTCTCTCTGGTTTTTATGTTAAGATATTTACTTTTTCACCATAGGACTCAAAGCCCTTCAAATATCCATTTGCAGATATTACAAAAAGACTGTTTCCAAACTCTTTAATGAAAAGAAAGGTTCAACTCTGTGAGATGAAAGAACAAATCACAAAGTAGTTTCTCATAAAGTTTCTGTCTAGTTTTTATGTGAAAATATTTCCTATTTCCCCATGGGCCTCAGTTGGCTCACAAATACCCCTCTGGACATTCTACAAAATGACTGCTTCCAAACTGCTGAATCAGTAGAAACTTTCAACTCTGTTAGATGAATGCCCACAACACAAAGAAGTTTCTCAGAATTATTCTATCTAGTTTTTATGTGAAGATATTTCCTTTTCCACAATAGGCCTTTAAGCACTCCAAACATCCCCTTGCGGATTCTACAAACAGAGTGTTTCAAAACTGCTCAATCAAAAGAACTGTTCAACTCTGTGAGATGAATGCAGACATCACAAGGAAGTTTCTCAGAATGCCTCTGCCTAGTTTTTATGGGAACATATTTCCTTTTTCACCATAGGCATCAAAGTGCTGTTAATATCCATTTGCAGATATCACAAAAATACTGCTTCCAAACTGTCCAATCAAGAGAAAGTTTCAACTCTGTGAGATGAAAGGAAACATCACAAAGAAGTTTCTCAGAAAGTTTCTGTCTAGTTTTAATGTGAATATATTTCCTATCGCCCCATAGACCTCAATCGGCTCACAAGTATCCTTTTGCAGATTACACAAAACGATGGTTCCCAAACTGCTCAATCACAGGAAAGGTTCAACCCTGTGAAATGAATGCACCCATCAAAAAGAAGTTTCTCAGAATACTTCTTTATAGTTTTTATGTGAAGAAGATTCCTTTTCCACCATATTCCACATGCATTCCAAATATACACTTGCAGATTCTGCTATAAGATGGTTTCAAAACTGTTCAATCAAAAGAAAGGTTCAAATCTGTGAGATGAATGCACACGTCACAAAGAAGTTTCTACAAATGCTTCTGTCTGATTTTATGTGAAGATATTTCCTTTTTCACCGTATTTCCTTTTTCACCCATCACAGAAAAGTTTCTCAGAATACTTCTGTCTCGTTTTTATGTGAAGAAGATTCCTTTTCCACCATATTCCTCATGCGCTTCAAACATACATTGCAGATTCTACAAAAAGAGTGTTTCAAAACTGCTAAATCAAAAGAAAAGTTCTAATCTGTGAGATGAATGCACACCTCACAAAGAAGTTTCTATGAATGCTTCTGTCTGATTTATATTGAAGATATTTCCTTTTTCACCGTAGGCCTCAGAGCGCTTAAAATATCCATTTGCAGATACTAGAAAAAGACTGTTTCCAAACTGCTCAATAAAAATAAAGTTCAACTCAGTGAGATGAATGCACACATCACAAAGAAGTTTCTGAGAAAGATTCTGTCTAGTTTTTATTTGAAGATAATTCCTATTTCCCAAGAGGCATCAATGGGCTCACAAATATTCCTTTGCATATTCTACAAAATGACTGTTTAGAAGCTGCTCAATCAAAAAAAAAGATTCAACACTGTGAGATGAATGCGCACATTCAAAGGAAGTTTCTCAAATTCTTCTGTTTGGTTTTTATGTGAAGATATTTCCTTTTTCACTATAGGCCACAAAGCTCTCAAAATATCCACTTGCAGATTCTACAAAAAGAGTGTTTCCACACTGCTCAATCAAAACAAAAGTTCAACTGTGCGAGATGAATGCACACATCACAAAGAAATTTCTCAGAATACTTCTCCCTAGTTTTTATGGGAAGATACTTCATTTTTCAACATAGGCCAAAAGTGCTCCAAATATTCATTTGCAGATTCTACAAAAAGACTGTTCCCAAACTGCTCAATCAAGAGAAAGTTTCAACCCGGTGAGTTGAAGTCACACATGACAAACTAGTTTCTCAGAAAGTATCTGTCTAGTTTTTATGTGAAGATATTTCCTATCTCCCCAGAAGCCTCAATGGGCTCACAAATATCCCTTTGCAGATTCTACAAAAAGACAGTTTCAAAACGGCTGAATCAAAAGAAAGGTTCAACTCTGTGAGATGAATGCACAGATCACAAAGAAGTTTCTCAGAATGCTGCTGTCTAGTTTTTATGGGAAGATGTGTCCTTTTCCACCATAGGCCTGAAAGTGCCCCAAATATCCACTTGTAGATTGTACAAAAAGACTGTTTCAAAACTGCTCAATCAAAAGAAAAGTTCAAATCTGTGAGATGAAAGCACACATCAGAAAGAAGTTTCTCAGAAAGTTTCTGTCTAGTTTTTATGTGAAGATATTTCCTATCACCCCATACGTCTCAATGGGCTCAAAAATATCTCTCTGCAGATTCTACAAAACGACTGTTTCCAAACTGTTCAATACAAGGAAAGGTTCAACTCCATGAAATGAATACACCCAATCAGGCAGAAGTTTCTCAGAATGCTTCTGTCTAGTTTTTATGTGACAGTGTTTCCTTTTCTACCATAGGCCTCAAAGCTCTACAAATATCCAATTGAAGATACTACAAAAAGTGTGTTTCAAAACTGCTCAATCAAAAGAATGGTTCAACTTCATGAGATGAATGCACACATCACAAAGAAATTTCTCAGAATGCTTCTGTCTAGTTTTTATGTGAAGATATTTCCTTTTCCACCATAGGCCTCAAAACGCTCCAAATATCCACTTGCACACTCTACGAAAGAGTTTTTCAAAACTTCTCAATCAAAAGAAAGTTTCAGCTCTGTGACATGAATGCACACATCACAAAGAAGTTTCTCAGAATGCTTCTGCCTAGTTTTTAGGGGAAGATATTTCATTTTTCACCATAGGCCTCAAAGTGCTCTAAATATCCATTTGCAGGCGAGAAAAAGACTGTGTCCAAACTGCTCAATCAAAAGAAAATTTCAGTTCTGTGAGATGAATGCACATATCACAAAGAACTTTCTCAGAATGCTTCTTGCTGGTTTTTATGTGAAGATATTTCCTTTTCCAGCACAGGCATCTAAGCACTCCAAATATCCAATTGAAGATTCCACAGAAAGGGTGTTTCAAAACTGCTCAATCATAAGATAGGTTTAACTTTGTGAGAAAAATGCACACATCGCAAAGAAGTTTTTCAGAATGTTTCTGTCTACTTTTTACATGAAGTTATTTCCTTTTCCACTATAGGCCTCAAATCACTCCAAATATCCACTTGCAGATCCTACAAAAAGAGTGTTTCTGAACTGCTCAATCAAAAGAAAGGCTCAACTCTGTGAGATGAATGTACACATAACAAAGAGGTTTCTCAGAATGCTTCTGTCTAGTTTTTCTGTGAAGATATTTCCTTTTCCACTAAAGGCCTCAAAGCACTCCAAGTATCCACTTGCAGATTCTACAAAAAGAGTGTTTAAATACTTCTCAAAAAAGAAAGGTTCAGCTCAGTGAGATGAATGCATACATCACAAAGAACATTCTCAGAATGCTTCTGTCTAGCTTTTATATGAAGATATTTCCTTTTCCATCATAGGCATCAAAGTGCTCCAAATATCCACTTGCAGATTCTACAAAAAGAGTGTGTTAAAACTGCTCAATCAAAAGAAAGTTTCAACACAGGGAGTTGAATGCGCACATCACAAAGAAGTTTCTCTGAATGCTTGTGTCTGATTTTTATGTGAAGATATTTCCTTTTCCACCATAGGCCTCAATGTTCACCAAATATCCAGTTGCAGATTCTGAAAAAAAGAGTGTTTCAAAACTGCTCAATCAAAAGAAAGTTTCAACTCTGTGAAATGAATGCACACATGACAAAGAAGTTCCTCAGAATGCTTCTGTCAAGTTTTTATGTGAATATATTTCCTTTTTATTTATTTATTTATTTTATTATTATTATACTTTAAGCTTTAGGGTACATGTGCACAATGTGCAGGTCAGTTACATATGTATACATGTACCACCCTGGTGTGCTGCACCCATTAACTCATCATTTAGCATTAGGTATATCTCCTAATGCTATCCCTGGCCTCTCACCCCACCCCACAACAGTCCCCAGAGTATGACGTTCCCCTTCCTGTGTCCATGTGTTCTCATTGTTCAATTCCCACTTATGAGTGAGAATATGCAGTGTTTGGTCTTTTGTTCTTGCGATAGTTTACTGAGAATGATGATTTCCAATTTCATCCATGTCCCTACAAAGGACATGAACTCATCATTTTTTATGGCTGCATAGTATTCCATGGTGTATATGTGCCACATTTTCTTAATCCAGTCTATCATTGTTGGACATTCAGGTTGGATCCAAGTCTTTGCTATTGTGAATAGTGTTGCAATAAACATAAGTGTGCATGTGTCTTTATAGCAGCATGATTTATAATCCTTTGTGTATATACCCAGTAATGGGATGGCTGGGTCAAATGGTATTTCTAGTTCTAGATCCCTGAGGAATCGCCACACTGACTTCTACAATGGTTGAACTAGTTTACAGTGCCACCCACTGTGTAAAAGTGTTCCTATTTCTCCACATCCTCTCCAGCACCTGTTGTTTCCTGACTTTTTAATGATTGCCATTCTAATTGGTGTGTGATGGTATCTCATTATGGTTTTGATTTGCATTTCTCTAATGGCCAGTGATGGTGGGCATTTTTTCATGTGTTTTTTGGCTGCATAAACATATTTTTTTGAGAAGTGTATGTTCATGTCCTTCGCCCACTTTTTGAAGGGGTTGTTTGTTTGTTTTTTTTTCCTTTTTAAACGTATGCCTCAAAGCACTCCAAATATCCATTTGCAGTTACTACAGAAAGACTGTTTCCAAACTGCTCAATCAAAAGAAAGGTTCAACTCTGTGAAATGAATGCACACATCAGAAGGAAGTTTCTCAGAATGCTTCTGTCTAGTTCTTATCTGAAGATATTCCCTATTTCCCCAGAAGCCTCAGTAGGCTGAAAAATATCCCTCTACAGATTCTACAAAACTACTGCCTCCAAACTGTTCAATCAATACAAAGGTTCAAGTCTGCGAAATTAATGCACACAAGACAAAGAAGTTTCTCAGAATGCTTCTGTATATTTTTAATGTGAAGATATTTCCTTTTTCACCATAGGTCTCAAAGCCCTCCAAATATCAACTTGCAGATTCTACAGAAAGACTGATTCCAAACTGCCCAATCAAAAGAAAGTTTCAACTCTGTGAGATGAAAGCACATATCACAAAGAATTTTCTCAGAAATTTTCTGTTTAGTTTTTATGTGAAGATATTTCCTATTACACCATAAGCCTCAATGGGAAAAAAAAACACCCCTTCACAGATTCTACAAAATGATGGGCTCCAAACTGCTCAATCAAAAGAAAGTTAAACCCTGTGAATTGAATGCACATATCACAAAGAAGTTTCTCAGAATGCTTCTGTAAAGTTTCTATGTGAAGATATTTCCTTTTCCAATATGGGACACAAAACGCCCAAATATCGACTTGCAGATTCTACACAAAGAGTGTTTCAAAACTGCTCAATCAAAAGAAAGTTTCAAATCTGTGAGATTAATGCACACATCACAAAGCAGTTTCTAGGAATCCTTCTGTCTGGTTTATATGTGAGGATACTTCCTTCTTCACCACAGGCCTCAAAGAGCTCCAAAAATCCATTTGCAGATGCTACAAAAAGATTGTTTCCAAACTGCTCAATAAAGAGAAAGGTTCAAATATGAGAGATGAAACCACACACCACAAAGGTGTTTCTCAGAATTCTTCTTTGTGGTTTTTCTGTGAAGATATTTCCTTTTCCACCATAGGCCTCAAAGCACAACAAATGTCCACTTGCTGATTCTATAAAGAGTGTTTCAACACTGCTCAATCAAAACAAGGGTTCAACTCTGTGAGATGAATGCACACAACACAAAGAAGTTTCTCAGAATGCTTCTGTCTAGTTTTTATGTGAAGATATTTCCTTTTGCACCATAGGGCTCAAAGCTCTCCAAATATCAATCTGCAGATACTACAAAAAGACTGTTTACAAACTGCTGAATCAAAAGAAAGGTTCAACTCCATGAGTTGAATGCACACATCTCAAAGAAGTTTCTCAGAAAGCTTCTGACTAGTTTTTATGTGAAGATGTTTTCTTTTCCATCATAGGCCTCAAAGTGCTAAAAATATCCACTTGAAGATTCTACAAAAAGAGAGTTTCAAAACTGCTCAAACAAAAGAAAGGTTCAACTCTGTGAGATGAATGCACACATCACAAAGAAGTTTCTCAGAATGCTTCTGTCTAGTTTTATGTGAAGATATTTCCTTTTCTACTATAGGCTGCAAAGCACTCCAAATACCAACTTGCAGATTCTGCAGAAAGAGTTTTTCAAAGCTGCTCAATCAAAAGAAAAGTTCAACACTTTGAGATGAATGCACACATCATGAAGAAGTTCCTCAAAATGCTTCTATTTTTTATGTGAAGATATATCCTTTTCTACCAAAGACCGCAAAGTGCTCCAAATATCCCCTTGCAGTTTCTACTAAAAGAGTGTTTCCAAACTGCTCAATCAAAAGAAAGTTTCAACTCTGTGAGATGAATGCACACATCACTAAGAAGTTTCTCAGTAATTTTCTGTCTAGTTTTTATGTGAAGATATTTCCTTTCCTACTATAGACCTGAAAGTGCTCCAAATATCCATTTGCAGATACTGCAAAAAGACTGCTTCCAAACTGCTCAATCAAAGGAAAGGTCCAACTCTGTGAGTTGAATGCATGCATCACAAAGAGATTTCTCAGAATTGTTCTGTCTGTTTTTTATGTGAAGATATTTGCTTTTCCACCAATGGCCTCAAACTCTCCAAATATCCACTTGCAGATTGTACAATAAGAGTGTTTCAAAACTGCTCAATCAAAAGAAAGGTTTAACTCTGTGAGATGAATGCACACATCACAAAGCACTTTCTCAGAATGCTTCTCTCTAGTTTTTATGTGAAGATATTTCGTTTTTCACCATAGGCTGCAAAGCCCTCCAAATATCCCCTTCAGATTCTACAGAAAGAGTGTTTCAAATCTGTTCAATCAAAAGAAAGGTTCAACTCTGTTGATGAATGCACGCATAGCAGAGCAGTTTCTCATAATGTTTCTGTCTAGTTTTCATGTGCATATATTTCCTTTTCCACCACAGGCCCCAAAGCGCTCCAAATATCCATTTGCAGGTACTACAAAAAGACTGTTTCCAAACTGTTCAATCAAAAGAAAAGTTTAAATCTGTGAGTTGAATGAGCACATCACAAATAAGTTCCTCAGAATGCTTCTGTCTAGTTTTTATGTGAAGATATTTCCTTTTCCACCACAGGCCACAAAGCACTCCAAATATCCACTGGTAGATTCTACAAATGTACGTTTCAAAACTACTCAATCAAAAGAAACGTTCAACTCAGTGAGACGAATGCACACATCACAAAGTTTTTTCTCAGAATGCTTCTGTCTAGTTTTCATTTGAAGATATTTTCTTTCATACCATAAGCCCCAAAGTACTCCCAATATCTACCTTCAGATTCTACAAAAAGTGTGTTTCAAAACTGCTTAATCAAAAGAAAGGTTCAAACCTGTGAGATGAATGCAGACATCACAAAGCAGTTTCTCAGAATGCTTCTGTCTAGTTTTGATGTGAAGATATTTCCTTTAACACCATAGGACTGGAAGCGCTCCAAATATTCACTTGCAGATTCTACAAAAAGAGTGTTAGCAAAGACTTGGAACCAAACCAAATGTCCAACAATGATAGACTGGATTAAGAAAATGTGGCACATATACACCATGGAATACTATGCAGCCATAAAAATGATGAGTTCATGTCCTTTGTAGGGACATGGATGAAATTGGAAAGTAATCTGAAAAAGTTTTTTGTGATGTGTGCATTCATCTCACAGAGATAAACCTGTCTTTTCATTGAGCAGTTTCGGAACTCTCTTTTTGAAGAATCTGCAAGTGGGCATTTGGAGCGCTTTGAGGCCTATGGTGGAAGAGGAAATATGTTCACATTAAAACTAGACAGAAGAATTCTGAGAAACTTCTTTGAACCTTTCTTTTGATTGAGCAGTTTGGAAACAATCATTTGTGGAATCTGCAAGTGGACATTTGGAGTTTTTTTCATCCTGTGGTTGAAAAGGAATTATCTTCCATAAATTTTAGACAGAAGCTATCTGAGAAACTTCTTTGTGATGTGTGTGTTCATCTCACAGAGTTGAACCTTTGTTTTGATTGAGCAGTTTGGAAACACTCTTTTTTTAGAATCAGCAAGTGGACATTTGGAGCACTTTGCGGCCTATGTTAGAGAAGGAAATATCTTCACATAAAATCTAGAGAGAAACAATCTGAGAAAGCTCTTTGTGATGTCTGCATTCAGCTCACAGAGTTGAACCTATCTTTTGATAGAGCAGTTTTTAAAGTCTCCTTTTGTAGAATGTGCAACTGCACATTTTTGCGCTTTGCGGCCTATGTTAGAAAAGGCAGTATCTTCACATAAAATCTAGACGGAAGCAATCGAGAAATTTCTTAGTGATATGTGCTTTCATCCCACTGAGTTGACACTTTCTTTTGATTGAGCAGTTTGGAAACACTCTTTTGTAGAATCTGCAAGGGGACATTTTGAGCACTTTGCGGCCTATGGTAGAAAAGGAAGTATCTTCACCTAACATCTACACAGAAGCAATGTGAGAAACTTCTTTGTGATGTTTGCATTCATCTCACAGAGTTAAACCTTTCTTTTGATTGAGCATTTATGAAACTCTCTTTTTGTAAATTCTACAAGGGGACATTTGGAGCGCTTTGAGGACTATGGTGGAAAAGGAAATATCTTCACATAAAAACTAGACACAAGAATTCTGAGAAATTTCTTTGTGATATGTGCGTTCGTCTCACAGAGTTGAACCTTTCTTTGAATTGAGCAGTTTGGAAACACTCTTTTTGTAGAACCTGCAAGTGGACATTTGGAGCGCTTTGAGGCCTGTGGTGGAAAAGTAAAAATCTTCACATAAAAACTAGACAGAAGAATTTTGAGAAACTTCTTTGTGATGCGTGGTTTAATCTCACAGAATTGAACATTTCTTTTGATGGAGCAGTTTGGAAACACTCTTTTTTTAGAATCTGCAAGCAGACATTTGGAGCGCTTTTGGGCCTATTTTAGAAAGGGGAATATCTTCATATAAAAACTAGACAGAAGAATTCTGAGAAACTTTTTTGTGATGTGTGCATTCATCTCACAGAGTTGAACCTTTCCTTGAATTGAGCAGTTTTGACACTCTTTTTGTAGAACCTACAAGTGGACATTTGGAGCTCTTTGCGGCCTCTGTTGGAAATATCTTAACATAAAACCTACACAGTAGCAATTTGAGAAACTTCCTTGTGATGTGTGCATTCATCTCACAGGGTTAAACTTTTCTTTTGATGGAGCAGTTTTGAAACTTTCTTTTTGTAGGATCTGCAAGTGGACATTTGGAGCACTTTGAGGCCTATGGTGGAAAAGAAAATACCTTCACATAAAAACTAGACAGAAGAATTCTGAGAAACTTCTTTGTGGTGTGTGCATTCATCTCACATACTTGAAACTTCCCTTTGGTTGAGCAGTTTGGAAACCCTCTTTTTGTTGAATCTGCAAGTGGACCTTTGGAGCGCATTGTGGCCTATGGTAGAAAAGGAAATATCTTCACATAAAATCTAGACAGAAGCAATATGAGAAACTACTTTTGATGTGTGTTTTCATCTCACAGATTTAAAGCTTTCTTTTGATTGAGCAGTTTTGAAACTCTGTTTTTGTAGAATCTGAAAGTGGACATTTGGAGCGTTTTGCGGCCTGTGGTAGAAAGGGAAAAATCTTCAAGTAAAATCTAGACAGAAGTAATCTGAGAAGCTTCTTAGTGTTGTGTGCATTAATCTCACAGACTTAAGCCTTTCTTTTGATTGAACAGTTTTGAAATACTCTTTTTGTAGAATCTGCAAGTGGACATTTGGAGCGCTTTGATGTCTATTGTGGAAAAGGAAATATCTTCACATAAAAACTATACAGAAGAATTCTGAGACATTTATTTGTGATGTGTGCGTTGATCTCACAGAGTTGAACCTTTATTTTGATTCAGCAGTTTGGAAACACTCTTTTTCTAGAATCTGCAAGTGGACATTTGGAGCACTTTGGGGCCTGTTGTACTAAAGGAAATATCTTCACATAAAATCTAGACAGAAGCAATCTGAGAAACTTCTTTCTGATGTGTGCGATCATCTCACAGGGTTGAAACTTTCTTTTGATTGAGCAGTTTGGAAACACTCTTTTTGTAGCATCTGCAAGTGGACATTTGGAGCACTTTGAGGCCTGTGGAGGAAAAGCAAAAATCTTCACATGAAAACTAGTCAGAAGAATTTTGAGAAACTTCTTTGTAATGCGTGCGTTAATTTCACGGAGTTGAACATTTCTTTTGATGGAGCAATTTGGAAATACTCTTTGTGTAGAACCTGCAAGCAGACATTTGGAGCGCTTTTGGGCCTATTTTAGAAGGGGATATCTTCACATAAAAACTAGATAGAAGAATTCTGAGAAACTACTTTGTGATATGTGCATTCATCTCACAGAGTTGAACCTTTCTTTGAATTGAGCAGTTTTGAAACTCTCTTTTTGTAGAACCTGCAAGTGGACATTTGGAGCGCTTTGCGGTCTCTGTGAAAAAAGGAAATATCTTAACATAAAATCTACACAGTAGCAATCTGAGAAACTTCGTTGTGATGTGTGCATTCATGTCACACAGTTAAAACTTTCCTCTAACTGAGCAGTTTTGAAACGCTCTTTTTGTAGAATCTGCAAGTGGACATTTGGATCGCTTTGCGGCCTATGTTAGAAAAGGAAGTATCTTTACATAAAATCTAGACAGAAGCCATAAGAGAAACTTCTTTGTGTTGTGTGCATTCATCTCACAGAGTTAAAGCTTTCTTTTGATTGAGCAGTTTTGGAACTCTCTTTTTGTAGAATCTGCAAGTGGACATTTGGAGCGCTTTGCGGTCTCTGTGAAAAAAGGAAATATCTTAACATAAAATCTACACAGTAGCAATCTGAGAAACTTCGTTGTGATGTGTGCATTCATGTCACACAGTTAAAACTTTCCTCTAACTGAGCAGTTTTGAAACGCTCTTTTTGTAGAATCTGCAAGTGGACATTTGGATCGCTTTGCGGCCTATGTTAGAAAAGGAAGTATCTTTACATAAAATCTAGACAGAAGCCATAAGAGAAACTTCTTTGTGTTGTGTGCATTCATCTCACAGAGTTAAAGCTTTCTTTTGATTGAGCAGTTTTGGAACTCTCTTTTTGTAGAATCTGCAAGTGGACATTTGGAGTGCTTTGAGGCCTATGGTGGAAAACGAAATATCTTCACATAAAAACTAGACTGAAGAATTGTGAGAAACTTACTTGTGACTTGTACGTTAATCTCACAGATTTTAACATTTCTTTTGATTGAGTAGTTAGGCAACGCTCTTATTGTAGAATCTGCAAGTGGACATTTGGAGTGCTTTGTGGCCTATGGTAGAAAAGGAAATATCTTTACATAAAATCTAGAAAGAAGCACACTAAAAGTTTTTGTGATGTGTGCAGTCATCTCACAGATATAAACCATTCTTTTGATTGAGCAGCTTTGGAACTCTCTTTTTGCAGAATCTGCAAGTGGACATTTGGAGCGCTTTGAGGCCTATGGTGGAAGAGGAAATATGTTCACATAAAAACTAGACAGAATAATACTGAGAAACTTCTTTGTGATTTGTGCATTCATCTCACTGAGTTGAGCCTTTCTTTTGATTGAGCAGTTTGGAAACAATCTTTTTGTAGAATCTGCAAGTGGACATTTGGAGCTCATTGCATCCTGTGGTTGACAAGGAAATATTTTCACATAAATTGTAGACAGAAGAAATCTGAGAAACTTCTTTGTGATGTGTGCGTTCATCTCACAAAGTTGAACCTTTATTTTGATAGAGCAGTTTGGAGACACTCTTTTTGTAGAATCTGCAAGTGGACATTTTTGTGCTTTGCGGCCTATATTAGAAAAAGCAGTATCTTCACATAAAATCTAGACAGAAGCAATCTGAGAAACTTCTTAGTGATATGTGCTTTCATCTCAGATAGTTGAAACTTTCTTTTGATTGAGCAGTTTGGAAACACTCTTTTTGTTGAATCTGCAAGTGGACATTTGGAGCGCTTTGCAGCCTATTGTAGAAAAGGAAATATCTTCACTTTAATCTAGACAGAAGCAATCTGAGAAACTTATTTGTGATGTGTGCATTCATTTCACAGAGTTAAACCTTTCTTTTGATTGAGCATTTATGAAACTCTCTTTTTTAAAAATCTACAAGCGGACATTTAGAGCTCTTTGAGGAATATGGTGGAAAAGGAAATATCTTCACATAAAAACTAGACAGAAGAATTCTGAGAAACTTCTTTGTGATGTGTGCATTCATCTCACAGAGTTGAACCTTTCTTTGAATTGAGCAGTTTGGAAACACTCTTTTTGTAGAATCTGCAAGTGAACATTTAGAGCGCTTTGTGGCCTCTGTTAGAAAAGGAAATATCTTCACATAAAATCTAGACAGAAGCAATCTGAGAAACTTCCTTATGCTGTGTGCATTCATCTCACACAGTTAAAACTTTCCTTTGATTGAGCAGTTTTGAAACTCTCTTTTTGCAGAAACTGCAAGTGGAAATTTGGAGCGCTTTGAGGCTTATGGTGGAAAAGGAAATATCTTCAAATAAAAACTAAACAGAAGAATTCTGAGAAACTTCTTGGTGATGTGTACGTTCAACTCACAGAGTTGAACCATTCTCTTGATTGAGCAGTTTGGAAACACTCCTTTTGTAGAATCTGCAAGTGAACATTTGGAGTGCTTTGCAGCCTATGGTAGAAAAGGAAATATCTTGACATAAAATCTAGACGGAAGCAGTCTGAGAAACTTCTTCGTGATGGGTTAATTCACCTCACAGAGTTAAAACTTTCTTTAGATTGAGCAGTTTTGAAACTCTCTTTTTGTAGAATCTACAAGTGGACATTTAGAGCGCTTTGAGGCCTATGGTGGAAAAGGAAATACCTTCACATAGAAACTAGACGGAAGTATTCCGAGAAACTTCTTTGTGATGTGTGCGTTCATCTCATAGAGTTGAACCTTTCTTTGGATTGAGTAGTTTGGAAACACTCTTTTTGTAGAATCCGCAAGTGGACTTTTGGAACGCTTTATGGCCTATGGTAGAAAAGGAAATATCTTTCACATAAAATCTAGGCAGAAGCAATCTGAGAAACTTCTTTGTGATGAGTGCATTCATCTCACAGAGTTAAAGCTGTCTTTTGATTGAGTAGTTTTGAAACTCTCTTTTTGTACTATCTGCAAGTGGACATTTGGAGAGCTTTGAAGCTTATGGTGGAAAAGGAAATATCTTCACATAAAAATTAGATAGCAGCATTCAGAGAAACTTCTTTGTGATGTGTGCATTCATCTCCCAGAGATGAACCTTTCTTTTGAAGGACCAGTTTTGAAGTACTCTTTTTGTAGAATCTGCAAGTGGACACCTCGAGCGCCTTGAGGCCTATGTTGGAAAAGGAAATATCATCACATAAAAACTAGACAGAAGAATTCTGAGAAACTTATTTTTGATATGTGCGTTCATATCTCTGAGTTGAACTTTTCTTTTGATTGAACGGTTTGGAACACTCTTTCTGTAGAATCTGCAAGTGGACATTTGGAGTGCCTTGCGACTTAAGGTGGAAAAGGAAATATCTTCACATAAAATCCAGACAGAAGCAATCTGAGAAACTTCTTTACGATATGTGTATTCATCTCAAAGGGTTAACCCCTTCTTTTGATTCAGCAGTTTTGAAACTCTCTTTTTGTAGAATCTGCAATTGGACATTTCTATCGCTTTGAGGCCTATGGTGGAACAGAGTATATCTTCACATAAAAACTAGACAGAAGAATTCTGAGAAACTTCTTTGGGATGTGGGCGTTCATCTCACAGAATTGAACCTATGTTATGATTTAGCAGTTTTGAAACACTCTCTTTTTAGAAGCTGTAAGTGGATAATTGGAGTGCTTTAAGGCCTAATGTGGAAAAGGAAATATCTTCACATGAAAACTACACAGAAGCATTCTGAGAAACTTCTTTGTGATGTGTACATTCAATTCACAGAGGTGAACCTGTGTTTTGATTGCGCAGTTTTGACTCTACTTTTTGGTAGAGTCTGCAACTGGATAATTGGAGACTTTTGTACCTTATGGAGGAAAAGGAAATATCTTCAAGTAAAAACTTCACAGAAGCATTCTGAGAAACTTCTTTCTGATGTGTGCATTCATCTCACAGAGTTGAACCTTATGTGGAAAAGCAAATATCTTGAGATAAAAACTACACAGAACCCTTCTGAGAAACATCTTTGTGATGTGTGCATTCATCTCATAGTGTTGAACCTATCTTATGATTGAGCAGTTTTGAAACACTCTTCTTGTGGAATCTGCAAGTGGATAATAGGAGCGCTTTGAGGCATACTGTGGAAAAGTAAATAACTTCACGAAAAAACTACACCATGGCATTCTGAGTAACTTCTTTGCAATGTGTGCATTCGTCTCAGAGAGTTGAACCTTTCTTTTGATTGAGCAGCTGTAAAACACCCTTTTTGTAGAATCTGCAATTGGATATTTGGAGCGCTTTGACGCGTATTGTGGAAAATGAAATATCTTTAAATAAAAACTACACAGAAGCATTCTGAGAAACTTCTTTGCGATGTGTGAATTCAACACACAGAGTTGAACCAATCTTTTGTTTAAGCAGTCTTGAATCTCTCTTTGTGTAGAATCTGCAAGTGGATATTGGGAGTCCTATGCAGCCTGTGGACGAAAAATAAATATCTTCAAATAAACACTACACAGAAGAATTTGAGAAACTTCTGTGTGATGTATGCATTCATCTCACAGAGTTGAAGCTATCTTATGATTGAGCAGATTTTAAACACTCTCTTTGTAGAATCTGCTAGCAGATATTTGGAGCACTTTAAGGCCTACTGTGAAAAAGGAAATCTCTTCACATAAAAACTACACAGAAGCATTCTGAGAAACTCCTTTGTGATGCCTGCATTCATTTCACAGAGTTGAACGATTCTTTTGATTGAGCAGTTTTGAAACACTGTTTCTGTAGAATCTGCAAGTGGACATTTGGAGCACTTTTAGACCTACTGTGGAGAAGCAAATATCTTCACATAAAAACTACACAGAAGCATTCTGAGAAACTTCTTTATGATGTGTGCATTCACCTCACAGAGCTGAACCTTTCTTTTGATTGAGCAGTTTTGAATCTCTCTTTTCGTGAATCTGCAAGTGGATATTTGGAGCCCTTTGGGGCATATGGAAAAAAAGGAAATATCTTCAAATAAAAACTACACAGAAGAATTCTGAGAAATTTCTTTGTGATGTGAGCATTCATCTCACAGAGTTGCACCTATGTTATTATTCAGCACTTTGGAAACACTATTTTTGTTGAATCTGCAAGTGGACATTTGGAGGGTTTTGAGGCCATCTGTGGAAAAGCAAATATGTTCACATAAAAACTACACAGAATCCTTCTGAGAAACATCTTTGTGATGTGTACATTCATCTCACAGAGTTGAACCTATCTTATGATTGATCAGTTTTGAAACATTCTTTTTGTAGAATCTGCAATTGGATAATTGGAGCGCTTTCAAGCCTATTGTGGAAAAGGAAATAACATAAAAACTACACAGAAGCATTATGAGAAACTTCTATGGGATGTGTGCATTCATCTCACAGAATTGAATCTATCTTATGATTTAGCAGTTTTGAAACACTGTAGAATCTGCAAGTGGATATTTGGAGCGTTTTGAGGGTTTTTGTGGAAAAGGAAATATCTTCACATAAAAACTACACAGAAGCATTCTGAGTAACTTCTTTGTGATGAGTGCATTCAACTCGCAGAGTTGAACTTATCTTTTGATTGAGCAGCTTTGAATCTCTGTTTTTCTAGAATCTGCAAGTGGATATTTGGAGCCTGATGTGGCCTATGGACGATGAGGAAATATCTTCTAGTAAACACTACAGAGACCCATACTGAGAAACTTCTTTGTGATGTGTGCCTTCACATCACAGAGTTGAACCTATCTTATGATTGAGCAGATTTGAAACACTTGATTTGTAGAATCTGCAAGTGGATATTTGGAGCGCTTTGAGGCCTCCTGTGGAAAAGCAAATATCTTCACATTAAAATTATATGGAAGTATTCTGAGAAACTTCTTCATGATGTGTGCATTCATCTCACAGAGTTGAAACTTTCTTTTGATTGGACTGTTTTAAAACACTGTTTTCGTAAAACCTAAAAGTGGATATTGGAGCACTCTGAGGCCTACTATGGAAAAGCAAATATCTTCACATAAAAACTACACAGAAGTATTCTGAGTAATTTCTTTGTGATGTGTGCATTCATCTCACAGAATTGAACATTTCCGTTGAATGAGCAGTTTTGCAACCCTTTTTTTGTAGAATCTGCAAGTGGATATTTGGAAAGCTTTGAGGTCTATTGTGGAAAACGAAATATCTACATAAAAAAACTACACAGAAGCATTCTGAGAAACTACTTTGTGATGTGTGCATTAGAATCACAGAGGTGAACTTATCTTTTGATTGAGCAGTTTTGAATCTCTCTTTTTGTAGAAGCTGCAAGTTGATATTTGGAGCCCTTTGCGGCCCATGGAGGAAAAGGAAATACCTTCAATTAAAAACTACACAGAAGCATTCTGAGAAACTTCTTTGTGATGTGTGCATTCATCTCACAGAGTTGGACCTATCTTATGATTCAGCAGTTTTGAAACACTGTTTTTGTTGAATCTGCAAGTGGATATTTGGAGTGCTTTGAGGCCATCTGTGGAAAAGCAAGTATCTTTGGATAAAAACTACAAAGAATACTTCTGAGAAATATCTTTGTGATGTGTGCATTCATCTCACAGAGTTGAACATATCTTATGATTGATCAGTTTTGAAGCATTCTTTTTGTAGAATCTGCAAGTGGATAATTGGAGCGCTTTCAAGCCTATTGTGGAAAAGGAAATATCTTAACATAAAAACTACACAGAAGCATTCTGAGAAACTTCTTTGGGATGTGTGCATTCATCTCACAGAATTGAACCTATGTTATGATTTAGCAGTTTTGAAACACTCTCTTTGTAGAATCTGCAAGTGGATATTTGGAGCGTTTTGAGGTTTTTTGTGGAAAAGGAAATATCTTCACATAAAAACTACACAGAAGCGTTCTGTGAAACTTCTTTGTGATGAGTGCATTCGTCTCACAGATTTCAACATACCTTCTGATTGAGCAGTTTTGAATTTCTCTTTCTGTAAAATCTGCAAGTGGATATTTTGAGCCCTTTGTGGCCTATGGTGGAAAAGGAAATATCTTCACATAAAAACTTCACAGAAGCATTCTGAGAAACTTCTTTGGTTGTGTGCATTCAACTCACAGTGTTGAAATTATCTTTTGCTTGAGCAGTTCTGCATCTCTCTTTTTGTAGAATCTGCAATTGGATATTTGGAGCCCTTTGAGGTGTATGGAGAAAAAGGAAATATCTTCAAATAAAAACTACACAGAAGCATTCTGATAAACCTCTTTGGGATGTGTGCTTTCATCTCACAGAGTTGAACTTATCTTATGATAGAGCAGTTTTGAAACACTCTCTTTTTAGAAGCTGTAAGTGGATAATTGGAGTGCTTTAAGACCTAATGTGGATAAGGAAATATCTTCACATGAAAACTACACAGAAGCATTCTGAGAAACTTCTTTGTGATGTGTACATTCATCTCACAGAGTTGAACCTGTCTTTTGATTGCGCAGTTTTGACTCTACCTTTTGGTAGATTCTGCAACTGAATATTTGGAGACTTTTGCCCCCTATAGAGGAAAAGGAAATATCTTCAAATAAAAGCTTCGCAGAAGCATTCTGAGAAACTTCTTCGTGATGAGTGCATTCATCAAACAGAGTTGAACACTTCTTTTGATTGAGTAGTTTTGAAACAGTCTTGTTGAAGAATCTGCAAGTGCATATTTGGAGCACTTTGGGGTCTACTTTGGAATAGCAAATATCTTCACATAAAAAGTACACAGAAGCCTTCTGAGAAACTTCTTAGTGATGTGGGCATTCATCTCACAGAGTTGAACTTTTCTTTTGATAGAGCAGTTTTGTAAAACTCTTTTTGTAGAATCTGCAAGTGGATATATGGAGCGCTTTGATGCCTATTGTGGAAAAGGAAATATCTTCACGTAAAAACTATGCAAAGCATTCTGAGAAAGTTCTTTGTGATGTGTGCATTCATCTTATGGATTCGAACCTATCCTTTGATTGAGCAGTTTTGAATCTCTCTGTTTCTAGAATCTGCAAGTGGATACCTGGAGCCCTTTGCAGCCTAGGGTGGAAAAGGAAATATCTTCAAATAAAAACTACACAGAAGCATTCTGAGAAACTTGTTTGTGATGTATGCATTCATTTCACAGAATTGATCCTATCTTATGACTGAGCAGTTTTGAAACACTCTTTTTGTTGAATCTGCAAGTGGATATTTGGAGCACTTTGAAGCCCATTGTGTAAAGGGAAATACCTTCACATAAAAACTACACAGAAGCATTCTGAGAAACTTCTTTGTGATGTGTGCATTCACCTCACAGAGTTGAACGTATCTTATGATTTAGCAGTTTGGAAACACCCTCTTTGTAGAATCTGCAACTGTATATTTGGAGCATTTTGAGGCCTACTGTGGAAAAGCAAATATCTTCACATAAAAACTACAAAGAAACATTCTGAGAATCTTTTTTGTGATGTGTGCATTCATCTCATAGAGTTGAACCTTTCTTTTGATTGAGCAATTTTGCAACACATTTTTTGTAGAATCTGCAAGTGGATATGTGGAGGCCTTTGAGGTCTCCTGTGTAAAAGGAAATATCTTCACATAAGAACTACACAGAAGCATTCTGAGAAACGTCTTTGTGATGTGTGCATTCAACTCACAGAGTTCAACCTGTTTTTTGATTGAGGAGTTTTGAATTTTTCTTTTTGTGGAATCTGCAAGTGGATATTTAGAGCCCTTTGTTGCCTATTTTGGAAAAGGAAATATCTTCAAATAAAAACTACACAGAAACATTCTGAGAAACATCTTTGTTATGTCAGCATTCATCTCACAGAGTTGAACCTATCTTATGATTGAGCAGTTTTTTGAAACTCTATGTTTGTAGAATCAGCAAATGGATATTTTGAGCGCTTTGTGGCCTATTGTGGAAAAGGAAATATCTTCACATAAAAACTACACAGAAGCATTCTGAGAAACTCCTTTGTGATGTGTATATTCATCTCAAATAGTTGAACATTTCTTTCGATTTAGCAGTTATGAAACACTGTTTTTGTAGAATCTGCAAGTGGATATTTGGAGCGCTTGGAGACCTATTGTGGAAAAACAAGTATCTTCATATAAAAACTACACAGAAGCATTCTGAGAAACTGCTTTGTGATGTGTGAAGTCATCTCCTAGAATTGAACCTTTCTTTTGATTGAACAGGTTTGGAACACTCTTTTTGTAGGATCTGCAAGTGGATATTTGCGGTGCTTTGAGGACTATTTAGGAAAAGAAAATATCTTCACATAAAAATTACACAGAAGCATTCTGAGAAACTTCTAGGCGATGTTTGCATTCATCTCACAGAGTTGAACCTTTCTTTTGACTGAGCAGTTTGGAAACACTCTTTTTGTAGAATCTGCTAGTGGATATTTAGAGAGTTTGGGGCCTATGGTGGAAAAGGAAATATCTTCCAAAGAAAACTACACAGAAGCATTCTGAGAAAATTCTTTGTGCTGTGTGCATTCAACTAGGAGAGTTGAACCTATCTTTCGATTGTGCAGTTTTCAATCTCTCTTATTGTAGAATCTGCAAGGGGATATTTTGAGCCCTTTGCAGCCTGTGGTGGAAAAGGAAATAATTTCACATAAAAACTGCACAGAAGAATTCTGAGAAACTTCTTTGTGATGTGTGCATTCATTTCACAGAGTTGAATGTTTATTTTGATTGAGCTGTTTTGAAACACTGCTTTTGAAGAATCTGCAAGTGGATATTTGGAGCTGTTTGAGGGCTACAGTGGAAAAGCAATATCTTCACATGAAAACTACACAGAAGCATTCTGAGAAACTTCTTTGTGATGTGTGCCTTCATCTCACAGAGTTGAACCTTTCTTTTGATGGAGCAGTTTTGAATCTCTCTTTTTGTAGAATCTGCAGGTGGATATTTTGAGCCCTTTGCAGCCTATGCAGGTAAAGGAAATATCTAAAAATATAAACAACACAGATGCATTCTGAGAAACTTCTTTGTTATGTGTGCATTCATCTCACTGTGTGGAACCTATGTTATGATTGAGCAGTTTTGATACACTCTCTTTGTAGAATCTGCAAGTGGATATTTGGAGCACTTTGAGGCCTATTGTGGAAAAGGAAATTCTTCATATAAAAACTACACAGAAGTATTCTCAGAAACTTCTTTGTGATGTGTGCATTCATCTCACAGAGTTAAACTTTTATTTGACTGAGCACTTTTGAAACACTGTTTTTGTAGAATCCGCAACTGGATATTTGGAGTGTTTTGAGGCCTACTGCAGAAAAGCAAATATCTTCAAATAAAAACTACACAGAGGCATTCTGAGAAACTTCTTTGTGATGGGCGCATTCATCTCAAAGAGTTGAACCTTTCTTTTGATTGAGAAGTTTTGAAACACTCTTTTTGTAGTATCTGCAAGTGGATAGTTGGAGTGCTTTGAGGCCTATTGTGGAAAAGTAAAGATCTTCACATAAAAAATACACAGAAGCATTCTGAGAAACTACATTGTGATGTGTGCATTCAACTCACAAGTTTGAACCTATCTTTTGATTGAGCAGTTTTGAATCTCTCTGTTTGTAGAATCTGCAAGTGGATATATGTAGCCCTTTGCAGCCTATGGAGGAAAAGGAAATATCTTCAAATAAAAACTGCACAGAAGCATTCTGAGAAACTTCTTCGTGATGTGTGCATTCAACTCGCAGAGGTGAATCTTTCTTTGGTTGAATAGTTTTGAAACACTCTTTTTGTAGAATGTGCAAGTGGGTATTTTGAGGGCTTTGAAACCTATTGTGGAAAAGGATATATCTTCATATAAAAATTACACAGAAGCATTCTGAGACACATCTTTATGATATATGCATTCAACTCACATAGTTAAATCTATCTTTTGATTGAGCAGTTTTGACTCTCTCTTTTTGAAGAATCTACAAGTGGATATTTGGAGCCCTTTACAGCATAAGGTGGAAAAGGAAGTATCTTCAAGTAAAAACTACACAGAAGCATTCTGAGAAACTTATTTTTGATGTGTGCATTCATCTCACAGAGTTGAACCTATCTTATGATTGAGCACTTTTGAAACAATCTTTTTATAGAATCTGCAAGTGGAAATTTGGAGCACTTTGAGGACTATTGTGGAAAAGCATGTATCTTCACATAAAAACTGCACAGAAGCATTCTGAGAAACTTCTTTGTGATGAGTGCATTAATCACACAGAGTTGAACCTATCTTTTGATTGAGTAGTTTTGAATCTCTCTTTTTGTAGAATCTGCAAGTGGATATTAGGAGCCCTTTGTGGCCTCTTGTGATAAAGGAAATATCTTCACAAAAAAACTACACAGAAGCATTCTGAGAAACTACTTTGTGATGAGTCCATTCACCACACAGAGTTGAAAATTTCTTTCACTGAACAGTTATGAAACACACTTTTTGTAGAGTCTGCAAGTGGATATCTGGAAGGCTTTGAGGCCTATTTTGGAACAGGAATTATCTTCCCATAAAAACTACACAGAAGCATTCTGAGAAACTTCTTTGTGATGTGTGCATTCATCTCACAAAGATGAACCTAGTTTTTCATTAAGCGGTTTTGAAACACTGTTTTTGCGAATCTGTAAGTTGATATTTGTGGCACTTTGAGGCTGACATTGGAAAAGTAAATATCTTCACATAAAAACTACACATAAACATTCTGAGAAACTTCTTTGTGATGTGGGCATTCACCTCACAGAGTTGAAACTTTCTTTTGATTGAGCAGTTTTGAAACACTATTTTTGTAGAATCTGCAAGTGTATATTTTTAGTGCTTTGAGGCGTATTGTGTAAAAGGAAATATCTTCACATAAAAACTACACAGAAGTATTCTGAGAAACTTCATTGTTAAGTGTGCATTCAACTCACAGTTTTGAATCTATCTTTTGATTGAGCACTTTTGTATCTCTCTTTTTGTAAAATCTGAAAGTGGATACTTGGAGACCTTGGCGGCCTATGGTGGAAAAGGAAATATCTTCACATAAAAACTACACAGAAGCATTCTGAGAAACTTCTTTGTGATGTGTACTTTTGTCTCACAGAGCTGAACTTTTCTTTTGATTCAGCAGATTGGACACACTCTTTTTGTATAATCTTCAACTGGATATTTGGAGCCCTTTGAGGCCTATTGTGTAAAGGGAAACATCTTCACATAAAAACTACACAGAATCATTCTGAGAAACTTCCTTGTGATGTGTGCATTCATCTCACAGGGTTGAACCTTTCTTTTAATTGAACAGTTTGGAAACACAATTTTTGTAGAATTTTCAGGTGGATAATTCGATCTCTTTGAGGCCTATGTTGGAAAAGGAAATATCTTCACATAAAAACTACACAGAAACATTTTCAGAAACTTCTTTCTGATGTGTGCATTCAGCTCACAGGGGTGAACCTATCTCTTGATTGAGCAGTTTTGAAACTCTCTTTTTGTAGAATCTGTAAGCGGATATTTGGAGTTGTGTAAAAGGAAATATCTTCACATAAAAACTACACAGAAGCATTCACAGAAACTACTTTGTGATGAGTGCATACATCACAAAGAGTTGAAATTTTCCTTCGATTGAGCAGCTTTGAAACACTCTTTTGTAGAATCTGGAAGTGCATATTTACAGGGCTTTGAGGCCTATTTGAGAAAGGAAATATCTTTACATAAAAACTACACAGAAACATTCTGGGAAACTTCTTTGTAATGTGTGCATTCAACTCACATAGTTGAACCTATCTTTTGATTGAGAAGTTTTGAAACTGTCCTTTTGTAAACTCTGCAGGTGGATATTTGGACCGCATAGCAGCCTATGGTGAAAAAGGAAATATCTTCACATAAACACTACACAGTGGCATTCTGAGAAACTTCTTTGTGATGTGTGCATTCATCACACGGAGTTGAAGCATTCTTTTGATTAAGCAGTTTTGGAATACTCTTTTTGTAGAATCTTCAAGTGAATATTTGGAGCGCTTTGAGGGCTATTGAGGAAAAGGAAATATCTTCACAGAAAAACTACACAGAAGGATTCTGAGAAACTTTTTTGTGATGTGTGCATTCATCACACAGAGTTGAAACTTTCTTTTGATTGAGCAGTTTTAAAACCCTCTTTTTGTAGAATCTTCAAGTGGATATTTGGGGGGCTTTGAGGCCTATTGTGGAAAAGGAAATATCTTCACACAAAAAATACACAGAAGCATTCTGAGAAACTACTTTGTGTTACGTGCATTCATCTCACAGAGTTGAAACTTGCTTTTGATTGAGCAGTTTGGAAACACTCTTTTTGTAGAATCTACAAGTGGATATTTGGTGCGCTTCAAGGCCTATTTTGTAAAAGCATGAATCTTCACATAAAAACTGTACAGAAGCATTCTGAGAAACTTCTTTGTGATGTGTGCATTCAACTCACACAGTTGAACCTACCTTTTGATTGAGCAGTTTTGAATCTCTCTTTTTGTACAATCTGGAATTGGATGTTTGGAGTGCTTTGAGTTCTTTTGTGGAAAAGGAAGTATCTTCATCAAAAACTACACAGAATCATTCTGAGATACTTTATTTTGATGTGTGCATTCATCTCACAGAGTTGAACTTTTCTTTTGATTCAGCAGCTTTATAACATGCTTTTAGTAGAACATTCAAGTGGATATTTGGGGGGCTTTGAGGCCTATTGTGGAAAACGAAATATCTTCACATGAAAACTACACAGAAGCATTCTGAGAAACTTCTTTGTGATGTGGGCATTCATCTCACAGAGTTGAACCTTTGCTTTGATTGAGCAGTTTTGAAAAACACTTTTTGTAGAATCTGCAAGTAGATATTTGGAGCGCTTTGAGGCCTATTGCTGAAAAGGAAATATCTTCACATAAAAATTACACATAAACATTCTGAGAAACTTCTTTGTGATGTGTGCATTCCTCCCACTGAGTTGAACAATTCTTTTCATTGAGCAGTTTTGTAACAGTCTTTTTGTAGATTCCGCAAGTGGATAATTGGAATGCTTTGAGGCCTATTGTTGAAAAGAAAATATCTTCACTTAGAAACTACACAGTAGAATTCTGAGAAACTTCTTCGTGATGTGTGCATTCAATTCACAGAATTGTATCATTCTTTTGATTGAGCAGTTTGGAAACATTCTTTTTGTAGAATCTCCAAGTGGATATTTGGAGCTTTTTGCAGCCTACAGTGGAAAAGGAAATATCTTCACATAAAAACTACACAGAAGCATCGGAGAAACTTCTTTGTGACGTGTGCATTCATCTGACAGAGTTGAAGCATTCTTTTGATTAAGCAGTTTTGAAATACTCTTTTTGTAGAATCTTCAAGTGGATATTTGGCGCGTTTGACGGCTATTGCGTAAAAGGAAATATCTTCACATAAAAACTACAGAGGAACAGTCTGAGATACTTTTTGTGATGTGTGAATTCATTTCACAGAGGTGAACCTTTCTTTGGATTGTGCACTTCTGAAATACTCTTTTAGTGCGATCTGCAGGTAGATATTTGCAGTGCTGTAAGGCGTACTGAGGAAAAGGAAATTTCTTCACATAAAAAATACACAGAAGCATTCTTAGAAACTTATTTGTGATGTGTGCATTCAACTTTCGGAGTTGAACCTATCTTGTTGAGCAGTTTTGAATCTCTCTTTTTTTGGAATCTCCAGGTGGATATTTGGAGCGCTTTGAGGCCTATGGTGTAAAAGGAAATATCTTCACATAAAAACTACACAGAAGCATTCTGAGAGACTACTTTGTGATGTATGCATTCAACTCATAGAGTCGAACCTACCTTTTGATTGAGCAGTTTTGAATATCTCTTTTTGTAGAACCTGAAAGTGGATATTTGAAGACATTTGCGGCTTGTGTTGGAAAAGGAAATATCTTCACATAAAAACTACACAGTAGCATTCTGAGAAACTTCTTTGTGATGTGTGCATTCATCACACGGAGTTGAAGCATTCTTTTGATTAAGTAGTTTTGAAATACTCTTTTGGTAGAATCTTCAAGTGGATATTTGGAGCGCTTTGAGGGCTATTGTGGAAAAGGAAATATCTTCAGTTAAAAATTACACAGAAGCATTCTGAGAAACTTTGTTGTGATGTGTGCATTCATCTCACAGAGTTAAAATTCTTTTGATTGAGCAGTTTGGAAACACTCCTTTTGTAGAATCTGCAAGTGGATATTTGGAGGGCTTTGAGGCTTACGGTGGAAAAGGAAATATCTTCACATGAAAACTACACAGAAACATTCTGAGATTCTTCTCAGTGATGTGTGCATTCAATTCACAGAGTTGAACCTATCTTTTGATAGAGCAGTTTGGCAACTCCCTTTTTGTAGGACATGCAAGGGGATATTTGGAGCTCTTTGCAGCCTATGGTGGAAAAGGAAATATCTTCATATAAAAACAACACAGAAGCATTCTGAGAAGCCTCTTTGTTGTGTGTGCATTCATCTCACAGAATTGAAAATTTTTTTTGATTGAGCAGTTTTGAAACACTCTTTTTGTAGAAAATGCAAGTGGATATTTTGAGTGCTTTGAAGCCTATTGTGGAAAAAGAAATATCTTCACAGAAAAACTACAGAGAAACATTCTGAGAAACTTCTTTCTTATGTGTGCATTCATCTCACAGAGTTGAACCTATCTTTTAATTGAACAGTTTTGAATCTCTCCTTTGTAGAATCTGTAAGTGGATATTTGGAGCCCTTTGCATCCTATGATGGAAAGAAAATATCTTCACATAAAAACTACACAGAAGCATTCTGAGAAAACTCTTTGTGATGTGTGCTTTCATCTGACAGAGTTGAACCTTTCTTTTGATTGAGCAGTTTTGAAACACTCCTTTTGTAGTATCTGCAAGTGAATATTTGGAGTGCTTTGAGGAGTATCATGGAAAAGGAAATATCTTCAAATAAAAACTACACAGAAGCATTCTGAGAAACTACTTTGTGATGTGTATATTCAACTCACAGAGTTGAACCTATCTTTTTCTTGAGCAGTTCTGAAACACTCTTTTTGTAGAATCTGCAAGTGGATATTTGGAGCCCTTTGAGGCCTATCGTGGGAAAGGAAATATCTTCACATAAAAACTACACAGAAGCATTCTGAGAAACTACTTTGTGATGTGTGCATTCATCTCTCATAGTTGAAACTTACTTTTGATTGAGCAATTTTAAAATACTCTTTTTGTAGAATCTGCAAGTGGATATTTGGAGGATTTTGGGGCCTATTGTGGAAAAGGAAATATCTTCATATAAAAAGTACACACAGGAAATCTGATAATCTTTGTGATGTGAGCATTCCGCTCATAGTGTTGAAAATTTATTTTCATTGATCAGTTTTGAAACACTCTTTTTGTATAATCTGCAATTGGATATTTGGAGCACTTTGAGGCCTATGGTGGAAAAGGAGATATTTTCACATAAAAACTACACAGTTGCATTCTGAGAAACTTCTTGATTATGTGTGCTTTCATTTCACAGAGTTGAAACTTTCTTTTGATTTAGCAGTTTGGAAAAACTCCTTTTTTAGAATCTGCAAGTGGATATTTGGAGGGCTTTCAGGCCTAGTTTTGAAAAGGAAATATCTTCACATAAAACCTACAAAGAAGGATTCTGAGAAACTTTTTTGTGATATATGCATTCAAATCACAGAGTTGAACATATCTGTTGATTGAGCAGTTTTGAAACTCTCTTTTTGTAGAATCTGGAAGTGGGTATTTGGAGCCGTTTGTGGCCTGCAGTTGAAAAGGGAATATCTTCAGATAGAAACTACACAGAAGCATTCTGAGAAACTTATTTGTGACGTGTGCATTCATCTCACAGAGTTGAGCCTTTCCTTTGATTGAGCAGTTTGAAAACACTCTTTTTGTAGAATATGCAATTGAATATTTGGAGCCGTTCATGGCATATGGTGTAAAAGGAAATATCTTCACATAAAAACTACACGGAAGCATTCTGAGAAACTTCTTGGTGATGTAGCTTTCATCACACAGAGTAGAATATTTCTTTTGATTGAGCACTTTTGAAACACACTTTTTGTAGAATCTGCAAGTGGATATTTGGAGAGCTTTGAAGACTATTGTGGAAAAGGAAATATCTTCACAGGAAAAGTACACAGAATCATTCTGGGAAATGTCTTGTGACGTGTGCATTCATCTCACAGAGCGCTTTGAGGCCCATTGTGGAAAAGGAAATATACACATGAAAACTAAACAGAAGCATTCTGAGAAACTTCTTTGTGATTTTTGCATTCATCTCACGGTGTTTTAACATTCTTTTGATTGAGCAGTTTGAAAACACTCTTTTAGTAGAATCTAAAAGTGGATATTTAGAGCGCTTTGAGGACTATTGTGGCAATTGAAATATCTTCACATAAAAACTACACAGAAGCATTCTGAGAAACTTCCTTGTGATGTGTGCACTCAACTCACAGAGTTGTACCTATCTATTGATAGAGGATTTTAGAAACTCTCTTTTTGGAGAATCTGCAAGTGAATATTTGGAGCCCTTTGTGGCCTACTGTGTAAAAGGAAATACCTTCACATAAAAACTACACAGAAGGCCGGGCGCGGTGTCTCACGCCTGTAATCCCAGCACTTTGGGAGGCCGAGGCGGGCGGATCACGAGGTCAGGAGATCGAGACCATCCCGGCTAAAACGGTGAAACCCCGTCTCTACTAAAAATACAAAAAACTAGCCGGGCGTAGTGGCGGGCGCCTGTAGTCCCAGCTACTTGGGAGGCTGAGGCAGGAGAATGGCGTGAATTTGGGAGGCGGAGCTTGCAGTGAGCCGAGATCCCGCCACTGCACTCCAGCCTGGGCGACAGAGCGAGACTCCGTCTCAAAAAAAAAAAAAAAAAAAAAAAAAAAAAACTACACAGAAGCACTCTGAGAAACTTCTTTGTGATGTGCGCATTCATCTCACAGAGTTGAACCTTTCTTTAGACTGAACAGTTTGGAAACTCTCTTTTTGTAGAATCTGCAAATGGATATTTGAAACACTTTGAGGCCTACTGTGGAGAAGAAAATATCTTCACATAAAAACTGACACAGAAGCATTCTGATAAACTACTTTGTGATGAGTGCATTAATCTCACAAAGTTGAACCTTTCTTTTATTTGAGCAGTTTGGAAACAATCTTTACAGAATCTGCAGGTGGATATTTGGAGCACTTTGAGGCAAATTGTGGAAAAGGAAATATCTTCACATAAAAACTGCACAGAAGCATTCTGAGAAACTTCTTTATGATGTGTGCATTCAACTCACAGACTTGAACCTTTCTTTTGATTGAACAGTTTTGAAACACTCTTTTTGTAGAATCTGCAAGTGTATATTTGTAACCCTTTGAGGCCTACTGTGGAAAAGGAAATATCTTCACATAAAAACTACATAGAAGCATTCTGAGAAACTTCTTTGTGATGTGTGCATTCCCCTTAAAGAGTTGAACCTCTCTTTTGATTGCGCACTTTTGAAACCCCCTTTTTGTAGAATCTGCAAGGTGATATTTGGAGCCCTTTAAGGCCTATTTTGGAAAAGGAAATATCTTCACATAAAAACTACACCAAAGTATTGTGAGAAACTTCTTCATCATATGTGAATTCGTCTCATAGAGTTGAACCTTTCTTTTCATTGATCAGTTTGGAAACACTCTTTTTGTAACATCTGCAGGTGGATGTTTGGAGCACTTTGTGGCGAATGGTGTACAAGGAAATATCTTTACATAAAAAGTACGCAGAAGCATTCTGAGACACCACTTTGAGATGTGTGCATTCAAGTCACCGGGTTGAGCCTATCTTTTTATAGAGCAGTTTTGAAACTCTATCTTTGCAGATTCTGTAAGTGGATATTTGGTGTGTTGTGCAGCCAAGTGTGAAAAAGGAAATATCTTCACATAAAAACCACACAAAATAATTCTGAGAAACTTCTTTGTGTTGTGTGCATTAATCTCACAAAGCTGAACCTTTCTTTTGATTAAGCAGTTTTGAAACACTCGTTTTGTAGAATGTGCAAGTCAATGTTTCGAGCACTTTGAGGCCTATTGTGGAAAAGGAAATATCTTTACATAAAAACTGCAAAGAAGCATTGTGAGAAACTACTTTGTGACGTGTGCATTCATCACACAGAGTTGAACCTTTCTTTTTATTGAGCAGTTTGGTAACACTCTTTTTGTATAATCTCCAAGGGGATATTTTTAGCGCTTTGAGATCTTTGGTGGGAAAGGAAATATCTTCACATAGAAACTACACAGAAGCATTCTGAGAAACTTATTTGGGATGTGTGCATTCATCTCACCGAGTTGAATCTATCCTATGATTGAGCAGTTTTTAATCACTCTTTTTGTAGAATCTGCAAGTGGATATTTGGAGCACATTTAGACCTATGGTGGAAAAGGAAACATCCTCACATAAAAACTACAAAGAAGCATTCTGAGAAACTTCTTTTTGATGTGTGCACTCATCTCACAGAGTTGAACCTTTATTTTGATTGAGCAGTTTGGAAACACTCTTTTTGCAGAATTTGGACGTGTATATTTGGAGTGCTTTGTGGCCTGTTGTGGAAAAGAAAATATCTTCACATAAAAACTACACAGAAGCATTCTGAGAAACTTCTTTGTGATGTGTGTATTCATCTCAGAGGGTTGATCCTTTCTTTTGATTGACCAGTTTGGACACACTCATTGTAGAATCTGCAAGTGGATACTTGGAGCGCTTTGAGGCCTATGGTGGAAAAGGAAATATCTTCACATAAAAACTACACAGAAGCATTCTCAGAAACTTTTTTGTGATGTCTGCATTCGACTCACACAGCTGAACCTATCTTTTGATTGAGAAGTTTTGATTCTCTCTTTTTGTAAAATCTGCAAGTGGATATTTGCAGACCTTTCTGGCCTATTTTGGAAAAGGAAATATCTTCACATAAAAAAATAGAAGCATTCTGAGAAACTTCTTTGTGATGTGTGCGTTCATCTCAAAAAGTTGAACATTTCTTTTGATTGAGAAGTTATTATTATTATTATACTTTCAGTTTTAGGGTACATATGCACATTGTGCAGGTTAGTTACATATGTATACATGTGCCATGCTGGTGCGCTGCACCCACTAACTCGTCATCTAGCATTAGGTATATATCCCAATGCTATCCCTCCCCCCTCCTCCCATCCCACAACAGTCCCCAGAGTGTGATGTTCCCCTTCCTGTGTCCATGAGATCTCATTGTTCAATTCCCACCTATGAGTGAGAATATGCGGTGTTTGGTTTTTTGTTCTTGTGATAGTTTACTGAGAATGATGACTTCCAATTTCATCCATGTCCTTAAAAAGGTTATGAACTCATCATTTTTTATGGCTGCATAGTATTCCATAGTGTATATAGACTGGATTAAGAAGATTTAGTAGTTTTTAAAAAAACTTTTTGTAATATCTGCAAGGGGATATTTAGAGCGTTTTGGGGCCTATTGTGGAAATGGAACTATCTTCATATAAAAACTAGACAGAAGCATTCTGAGAAACTTTTGGTGATCTGTGCATTCAACTCACAGCTTTGAACCTTTCTTTTGATTGAAGAGTTTTGAAACACTCTTTTTGTAGTATCTGTAAATGGATATTTGAAGCGGTTTGAGGTCTATCTTGGAAAAGGAAATATCTTCACATATAAACTAGACAGAAGCATTCTGAGAAACTTCTCTGTGATAAGTGCCTTCACCTCACAGAGTTGAACCTTTCTTTTGATTGAGCAGTTTTGAAACACTCTTTTTGTTGTATATGCAAGTGGATATTTGGAGCGATTTGTGGTCTATGGTGGAAAAGGAAATATCTTCACGTAAAAACTAGACAGAAGCACTCTGAGAAACTTCTTTGTGATGTGTGCATTCATCTCACCAAGCGGAACCATTCTTTTGATGGAGCTGTTTTGAAATACTCTTTTTGTAGAATCTGCAAGTGAATATTTGGAGTGCTTTCAGGCCTGTGGTGGAAAAGGAAATATCTTCACATAAAAACTAGACAGAAGCATTCGGAGAAACTTCTTTTTAGTGTGTGCATTCATCTCACAGTGTTGAAACTTTCTTTTGATTGAGGGTTTTGAAACAGTCTTTTTGATAAATCTGCAAGTGGATATTTGGAGCGAATTGTGGCCTATGGTTTAAAAGGAAATATCTTCACATAAAAGCTAGACAGAAGCTTTCTGAGAAACTTCTTTGTGATATGTGCGTTCATCTCACCGGGTTGAATCTTTCCTTTCATCGAGCAATATTGAAACACCCTTTTTTTTGAATCTGAAATAGATATTTGGAGCGATTGTGTCCTATGGTAGTAAAGGCAATATTTTCACAGAAAAACTAGACAGAAGCATTCTGCAAAACTTCCTCGTGATGTGTTCATTTATCTCACCAAATTGAACCATTCTTTTCCTTGAGCAGATTTGATACACTCTTTTTGTAGAATGTGCAAGTGAATATTTGGAACGCTTTGATGAGTTTGACGGAAAAGGAAATACCTTCACATATAAACGAGACAGAAGCATTCTGAGAAACTTCTTTCTGATATGTGCATTCAACTCACAGAGTTGAACCTTTCTTTTGATTCAGCAGTTTTGAAACACACTTTTTGAAGGATCTGTAAGTGGATATTTGGAGTGCTTAGGGGTCGATGCTAGAAAGGAAATATCTCCACATAAAAACTTGATGGAAGCATTCTGAGAAACTTCTTTGTGATGTGTGCATTCATCAGAGAGAGTTTAACATTTCTTTTGACTGAGCAGTTTTGAAACTCTCTTTTTGTAGAATCTGCAAGTGGACATTTGGAGCCACTTGAGGCCTATTGTGGAAAAGGGAATAAATTCACATAAAAGCTACACGGAAGCATTCTGACAAACTTCTTTGTGATGTGCACATTCATCTCACAGATTGAAAATTTCTTTTGATTGAGCAGTTTTGAAATGCTCTTTTCGGAGAATCAGCCAGTGGATATTTGGAGCACTTTGAGGACTATGGTGGAAAAGGAAATATCTTCACATAAAAACTAGAGGAAACATTCTGAGAAACTTATTTGTGATGTGTGCATTCCTCTCACAGAGTTGAACATTTCTTTTGATTAAGCAGTTTTGAAACACTCTTTTGTGGAATCTGCTAGAGGATATTTGGAGCGCTTTGAGGCCTATGGAGGAAAAGGAAATATCTTCACTTAAAAACTAGACAGAAGCATTCTGAGAAACTTCTTTGTGATGTTTGCATTCATCTCACAGGGTTGAAATTTTCTTTTGATTGAGAAGTTTTGAGACACTCTTTTTGTAGAATCTGCCTGTGGATAATAGGAGCGCTTTGGGGCATATTTTGGAAAAGGAAATACCTTCACATAAATAGTAGACAGAAGCATTCTGAGAAACTTCTTTGTGACGTGTGCATATATATCACAGAGTTGAACCTTTCTTTTCATTTAGCCTTTTGAAACACTCTTTTTCTAGAATCTGCAAGTGAATATTTGGAGCGCTTTGCGGCCTATGGTGGAAAATAAATATCTTCACATAAAAACTAGACAGAAGCAATCTGAGAAACTACTTTGTGATGTGTGCATTCATCTCACAGAGTTGAACCTTTCTTTTGATTGAGCAGTTTTGAAACACTCTTTTTGTTGTATATGCAAGTGGATATTTGGAGCGATTTGTGGTCTATGGTGGAAAAGGAAATATCTTCACGTAAAAACTAGACAGAAGCACTCTGAGAAACTTCTTTGTGATGTGTGCATTCATCTCACCAAGCGGAACCATTCTTTTGATGGAGCTGTTTTGAAATACTCTTTTTGTAGAATCTGCAAGTGAATATTTGGAGTGCTTTCAGGCCTGTGGTGGAAAAGGAAATATCTTCACATAAAAACTAGACAGAAGCATTCGGAGAAACTTCTTTTTAGTGTGTGCATTCATCTCACAGTGTTGAAACTTTCTTTTGATTGAGGGTTTTGAAACAGTCTTTTTGATAAATCTGCAAGTGGATATTTGGAGCGAATTGTGGCCTATGGTTTAAAAGGAAATATCTTCACATAAAAGCTAGACAGAAGCTTTCTGAGAAACTTCTTTGTGATATGTGCGTTCATCTCACCGGGTTGAATCTTTCCTTTCATCGAGCAATATTGAAACACCCTTTTTTTTGAATCTGAAATAGATATTTGGAGCGATTGTGTCCTATGGTAGTAAAGGCAATATTTTCACAGAAAAACTAGACAGAAGCATTCTGCAAAACTTCCTCGTGATGTGTTCATTTATCTCACCAAATTGAACCATTCTTTTCCTTGAGCAGATTTGATACACTCTTTTTGTAGAATGTGCACGTGAATATTTGGAACGCTTTGATGAGTTTGACGGAAAAGGAAATACCTTCACATATAAACGAGACAGAAGCATTCTGAGAAACTTCTTTCTGATATGTGCATTCAACTCACAGAGTTGAACCTTTCTTTTGATTCAGCAGTTTTGAAACACACTTTTTGAAGGATCTGTAAGTGGATATTTGGAGTGCTTAGGGGTCGATGCTAGAAAGGAAATATCTCCACATAAAAACTTGATGGAAGCATTCTGAGAAACTTCTTTGTGATGTGTGCATTCATCAGAGAGAGTTTAACATTTCTTTTGACTGAGCAGTTTTGAAACTCTCTTTTTGTAGAATCTGCAAGTGGACATTTGGAGCCACTTGAGGCCTATTGTGGAAAAGGGAATAAATTCACATAAAAGCTACACGGAAGCATTCTGACAAACTTCTTTGTGATGTGCACATTCATCTCACAGATTGAAAATTTCTTTTGATTGAGCAGTTTTGAAATGCTCTTTTCGGAGAATCAGCCAGTGGATATTTGGAGCACTTTGAGGACTATGGTGGAAAAGGAAATATCTTCACATAAAAACTAGAGGAAACATTCTGAGAAACTTATTTGTGATGTGTGCATTCCTCTCACAGAGTTGAACATTTCTTTTGATTAAGCAGTTTTGAAACACTCTTTTGTGGAATCTGCTAGAGGATATTTGGAGCGCTTTGAGGCCTATGGAGGAAAAGGAAATATCTTCACTTAAAAACTAGACAGAAGCATTCTGAGAAACTTCTTTGTGATGTTTGCATTCATCTCACAGGGTTGAAATTTTCTTTTGATTGAGAAGTTTTGAGACACTCTTTTTGTAGAATCTGCCTGTGGATAATAGGAGCGCTTTGGGGCATATTTTGGAAAAGGAAATACCTTCACATAAATAGTAGACAGAAGCATTCTGAGAAACTTCTTTGTGACGTGTGCATATATATCACAGAGTTGAACCTTTCTTTTCATTTAGCCTTTTGAAACACTCTTTTTCTAGAATCTGCAAGTGAATATTTGGAGCGCTTTGCGGCCTATGGTGGAAAATAAATATCTTCACATAAAAACTAGACAGAAGCAATCTGAGAAACTACTTTGTGATGTGTGCATTCATCTCACAGAGTTGAACCTTTCTTTTGATTGAGCAGTTTTGAAACACTCTTTTTGTTGTATATGCAAGTGGATATTTGGAGCGATTTGTGGTCTATGGTGGAAAAGGAAATATCTTCACGTAAAAACTAGACAGAAGCACTCTGAGAAACTTCTTTGTGATGTGTGCATTCATCTCACCAAGCGGAACCATTCTTTTGATGGAGCTGTTTTGAAATACTCTTTTTGTAGAATCTGCAAGTGAATATTTGGAGTGCTTTCAGGCCTGTGGTGGAAAAGGAAATATCTTCACATAAAAACTAGACAGAAGCATTCGGAGAAACTTCTTTTTAGTGTGTGCATTCATCTCACAGTGTTGAAACTTTCTTTTGATTGAGGGTTTTGAAACAGTCTTTTTGATAAATCTGCAAGTGGATATTTGGAGCGAATTGTGGCCTATGGTTTAAAAGGAAATATCTTCACATAAAAGCTAGACAGAAGCTTTCTGAGAAACTTCTTTGTGATATGTGCGTTCATCTCACCGGGTTGAATCTTTCCTTTCATCGAGCAATATTGAAACACCCTTTTTTTTGAATCTGAAATAGATATTTGGAGCGATTGTGTCCTATGGTAGTAAAGGCAATATTTTCACAGAAAAACTAGACAGAAGCATTCTGCAAAACTTCCTCGTGATGTGTTCATTTATCTCACCAAATTGAACCATTCTTTTCCTTGAGCAGATTTGATACACTCTTTTTGTAGAATGTGCAAGTGAATATTTGGAACGCTTTGATGAGTTTGACGGAAAAGGAAATACCTTCACATATAAACGAGACAGAAGCATTCTGAGAAACTTCTTTCTGATATGTGCATTCAACTCACAGAGTTGAACCTTTCTTTTGATTCAGCAGTTTTGAAACACACTTTTTGAAGGATCTGTAAGTGGATATTTGGAGTGCTTAGGGGTCGATGCTAGAAAGGAAATATCTCCACATAAAAACTTGATGGAAGCATTCTGAGAAACTTCTTTGTGATGTGTGCATTCATCAGAGAGAGTTTAACATTTCTTTTGACTGAGCAGTTTTGAAACTCTCTTTTTGTAGAATCTGCAAGTGGACATTTGGAGCCACTTGAGGCCTATTGTGGAAAAGGGAATAAATTCACATAAAAGCTACACGGAAGCATTCTGACAAACTTCTTTGTGATGTGCACATTCATCTCACAGATTGAAAATTTCTTTTGATTGAGCAGTTTTGAAATGCTCTTTTCGGAGAATCAGCCAGTGGATATTTGGAGCACTTTGAGGACTATGGTGGAAAAGGAAATATCTTCACATAAAAACTAGAGGAAACATTCTGAGAAACTTATTTGTGATGTGTGCATTCCTCTCACAGAGTTGAACATTTCTTTTGATTAAGCAGTTTTGAAACACTCTTTTGTGGAATCTGCTAGAGGATATTTGGAGCGCTTTGAGGCCTATGGAGGAAAAGGAAATATCTTCACTTAAAAACTAGACAGAAGCATTCTGAGAAACTTCTTTGTGATGTTTGCATTCATCTCACAGGGTTGAAATTTTCTTTTGATTGAGAAGTTTTGAGACACTCTTTTTGTAGAATCTGCCTGTGGATAATAGGAGCGCTTTGGGGCATATTTTGGAAAAGGAAATACCTTCACATAAATAGTAGACAGAAGCATTCTGAGAAACTTCTTTGTGACGTGTGCATATATATCACAGAGTTGAACCTTTCTTTTCATTTAGCCTTTTGAAACACTCTTTTTCTAGAATCTGCAAGTGAATATTTGGAGCGCTTTGCGGCCTATGGTGGAAAATAAATATCTTCACATAAAAACTAGACAGAAGCAATCTGAGAAACTACTTTGTGATGTGTGCATTCATCTCACAGAGTTGAACCTTTCTTTTGATTGAGCAGTTTTGAAACACTCTTTTTGTTGTATATGCAAGTGGATATTTGGAGCGATTTGTGGTCTATGGTGGAAAAGGAAATATCTTCACGTAAAAACTAGACAGAAGCACTCTGAGAAACTTCTTTGTGATGTGTGCATTCATCTCACCAAGCGGAACCATTCTTTTGATGGAGCTGTTTTGAAATACTCTTTTTGTAGAATCTGCAAGTGAATATTTGGAGTGCTTTCAGGCCTGTGGTGGAAAAGGAAATATCTTCACATAAAAACTAGACAGAAGCATTCGGAGAAACTTCTTTTTAGTGTGTGCATTCATCTCACAGTGTTGAAACTTTCTTTTGATTGAGGGTTTTGAAACAGTCTTTTTGATAAATCTGCAAGTGGATATTTGGAGCGAATTGTGGCCTATGGTTTAAAAGGAAATATCTTCACATAAAAGCTAGACAGAAGCTTTCTGAGAAACTTCTTTGTGATATGTGCGTTCATCTCACCGGGTTGAATCTTTCCTTTCATCGAGCAATATTGAAACACCCTTTTTTTTGAATCTGAAATAGATATTTGGAGCGATTGTGTCCTATGGTAGTAAAGGCAATATTTTCACAGAAAAACTAGACAGAAGCATTCTGCAAAACTTCCTCGTGATGTGTTCATTTATCTCACCAAATTGAACCATTCTTTTCCTTGAGCAGATTTGATACACTCTTTTTGTAGAATGTGCAAGTGAATATTTGGAACGCTTTGATGAGTTTGACGGAAAAGGAAATACCTTCACATATAAACGAGACAGAAGCATTCTGAGAAACTTCTTTCTGATATGTGCATTCAACTCACAGAGTTGAACCTTTCTTTTGATTCAGCAGTTTTGAAACACACTTTTTGAAGGATCTGTAAGTGGATATTTGGAGTGCTTAGGGGTCGATGCTAGAAAGGAAATATCTCCACATAAAAACTTGATGGAAGCATTCTGAGAAACTTCTTTGTGATGTGTGCATTCATCAGAGAGAGTTTAACATTTCTTTTGACTGAGCAGTTTTGAAACTCTCTTTTTGTAGAATCTGCAAGTGGACATTTGGAGCCACTTGAGGCCTATTGTGGAAAAGGGAATAAATTCACATAAAAGCTACACGGAAGCATTCTGACAAACTTCTTTGTGATGTGCACATTCATCTCACAGATTGAAAATTTCTTTTGATTGAGCAGTTTTGAAATGCTCTTTTCGGAGAATCAGCCAGTGGATATTTGGAGCACTTTGAGGACTATGGTGGAAAAGGAAATATCTTCACATAAAAACTAGAGGAAACATTCTGAGAAACTTATTTGTGATGTGTGCATTCCTCTCACAGAGTTGAACATTTCTTTTGATTAAGCAGTTTTGAAACACTCTTTTGTGGAATCTGCTAGAGGATATTTGGAGCGCTTTGAGGCCTATGGAGGAAAAGGAAATATCTTCACTTAAAAACTAGACAGAAGCATTCTGAGAAACTTCTTTGTGATGTTTGCATTCATCTCACAGGGTTGAAATTTTCTTTTGATTGAGAAGTTTTGAGACACTCTTTTTGTAGAATCTGCCTGTGGATAATAGGAGCGCTTTGGGGCATATTTTGGAAAAGGAAATACCTTCACATAAATAGTAGACAGAAGCATTCTGAGAAACTTCTTTGTGACGTGTGCATATATATCACAGAGTTGAACCTTTCTTTTCATTTAGCCTTTTGAAACACTCTTTTTCTAGAATCTGCAAGTGAATATTTGGAGCGCTTTGCGGCCTATGGTGGAAAATAAATATCTTCACATAAAAACTAGACAGAAGCAATCTGAGAAACTACTTTGTGATGTGTGCATTCATCTCACAGAGTTGAACCTTTCTTTTGATTGAGCAGTTTTGAAACACTCTTTTTGTTGTATATGCAAGTGGATATTTGGAGCGATTTGTGGTCTATGGTGGAAAAGGAAATATCTTCACGTAAAAACTAGACAGAAGCACTCTGAGAAACTTCTTTGTGATGTGTGCATTCATCTCACCAAGCGGAACCATTCTTTTGATGGAGCTGTTTTGAAATACTCTTTTTGTAGAATCTGCAAGTGAATATTTGGAGTGCTTTCAGGCCTGTGGTGGAAAAGGAAATATCTTCACATAAAAACTAGACAGAAGCATTCGGAGAAACTTCTTTTTAGTGTGTGCATTCATCTCACAGTGTTGAAACTTTCTTTTGATTGAGGGTTTTGAAACAGTCTTTTTGATAAATCTGCAAGTGGATATTTGGAGCGAATTGTGGCCTATGGTTTAAAAGGAAATATCTTCACATAAAAGCTAGACAGAAGCTTTCTGAGAAACTTCTTTGTGATATGTGCGTTCATCTCACCGGGTTGAATCTTTCCTTTCATCGAGCAATATTGAAACACCCTTTTTTTTGAATC
Organism: Homo sapiens; assembly: GCF_000001405.40. NCBI lineage: Eukaryota > Metazoa > Chordata > Mammalia > Primates > Hominidae > Homo > Homo sapiens. The sequence continues at coordinate 28,968,413 of NC_000020.11, forward strand.
TGAAATAGATATTTGGAGCGATTGTGTCCTATGGTAGTAAAGGCAATATTTTCACAGAAAAACTAGACAGAAGCATTCTGCAAAACTTCCTCGTGATGTGTTCATTTATCTCACCAAATTGAACCATTCTTTTCCTTGAGCAGATTTGATACACTCTTTTTGTAGAATGTGCACGTGAATATTTGGAACGCTTTGATGAGTTTGACGGAAAAGGAAATACCTTCACATATAAACGAGACAGAAGCATTCTGAGAAACTTCTTTGTGACGTGTGCATATATATCACAGAGTTGAACCTTTCTTTTCATTTAGCCTTTTGAAACACTCTTTTTCTAGAATCTGCAAGTGAATATTTGGAGCGCTTTGCGGCCTATGGTGGAAAATAAATATCTTCACATAAAAACTAGACAGAAGCAATCTGAGAAACTACTTTGTGATGTGTGCATTCATCTCACAGAGTTGAACCTTTCTTTTGATTGAGCAGTTTTGAAACACTCTTTTTGTTGTATATGCAAGTGGATATTTGGAGCGATTTGTGGTCTATGGTGGAAAAGGAAATATCTTCACGTAAAAACTAGACAGAAGCACTCTGAGAAACTTCTTTGTGATGTGTGCATTCATCTCACCAAGCGGAACCATTCTTTTGATGGAGCTGTTTTGAAATACTCTTTTTGTAGAATCTGCAAGTGAATATTTGGAGTGCTTTCAGGCCTGTGGTGGAAAAGGAAATATCTTCACATAAAAACTAGACAGAAGCATTCGGAGAAACTTCTTTTTAGTGTGTGCATTCATCTCACAGTGTTGAAACTTTCTTTTGATTGAGGGTTTTGAAACAGTCTTTTTGATAAATCTGCAAGTGGATATTTGGAGCGAATTGTGGCCTATGGTTTAAAAGGAAATATCTTCACATAAAAGCTAGACAGAAGCTTTCTGAGAAACTTCTTTGTGATATGTGCGTTCATCTCACCGGGTTGAATCTTTCCTTTCATCGAGCAATATTGAAACACCCTTTTTTTTGAATCTGAAATAGATATTTGGAGCGATTGTGTCCTATGGTAGTAAAGGCAATATTTTCACAGAAAAACTAGACAGAAGCATTCTGCAAAACTTCCTCGTGATGTGTTCATTTATCTCACCAAATTGAACCATTCTTTTCCTTGAGCAGATTTGATACACTCTTTTTGTAGAATGTGCAAGTGAATATTTGGAACGCTTTGATGAGTTTGACGGAAAAGGAAATACCTTCACATATAAACGAGACAGAAGCATTCTGAGAAACTTCTTTCTGATATGTGCATTCAACTCACAGAGTTGAACCTTTCTTTTGATTCAGCAGTTTTGAAACACACTTTTTGAAGGATCTGTAAGTGGATATTTGGAGTGCTTAGGGGTCGATGCTAGAAAGGAAATATCTCCACATAAAAACTTGATGGAAGCATTCTGAGAAACTTCTTTGTGATGTGTGCATTCATCAGAGAGAGTTTAACATTTCTTTTGACTGAGCAGTTTTGAAACTCTCTTTTTGTAGAATCTGCAAGTGGACATTTGGAGCCACTTGAGGCCTATTGTGGAAAAGGGAATAAATTCACATAAAAGCTACACGGAAGCATTCTGACAAACTTCTTTGTGATGTGCACATTCATCTCACAGATTGAAAATTTCTTTTGATTGAGCAGTTTTGAAATGCTCTTTTCGGAGAATCAGCCAGTGGATATTTGGAGCACTTTGAGGACTATGGTGGAAAAGGAAATATCTTCACATAAAAACTAGAGGAAACATTCTGAGAAACTTATTTGTGATGTGTGCATTCCTCTCACAGAGTTGAACATTTCTTTTGATTAAGCAGTTTTGAAACACTCTTTTGTGGAATCTGCTAGAGGATATTTGGAGCGCTTTGAGGCCTATGGAGGAAAAGGAAATATCTTCACTTAAAAACTAGACAGAAGCATTCTGAGAAACTTCTTTGTGATGTTTGCATTCATCTCACAGGGTTGAAATTTTCTTTTGATTGAGAAGTTTTGAGACACTCTTTTTGTAGAATCTGCCTGTGGATAATAGGAGCGCTTTGGGGCATATTTTGGAAAAGGAAATACCTTCACATAAATAGTAGACAGAAGCATTCTGAGAAACTTCTTTGTGACGTGTGCATATATATCACAGAGTTGAACCTTTCTTTTCATTTAGCCTTTTGAAACACTCTTTTTCTAGAATCTGCAAGTGAATATTTGGAGCGCTTTGCGGCCTATGGTGGAAAATAAATATCTTCACATAAAAACTAGACAGAAGCAATCTGAGAAACTACTTTGTGATGTGTGCATTCATCTCACAGAGTTGAACCTTTCTTTTGATTGAGCAGTTTTGAAACACTCTTTTTGTTGTATATGCAAGTGGATATTTGGAGCGATTTGTGGTCTATGGTGGAAAAGGAAATATCTTCACGTAAAAACTAGACAGAAGCACTCTGAGAAACTTCCTTGTGATGTGTGCATTCATCTCACCAAGCGGAACCATTCTTTTGATGGAGCTGTTTTGAAATACTCTTTTTGTAGAATCTGCAAGTGAATATTTGGAGTGCTTTCAGGCCTGTGGTGGAAAAGGAAATATCTTCACATAAAAACTAGACAGAAGCATTCGGAGAAACTTCTTTTTAGTGTGTGCATTCATCTCACAGTGTTGAAACTTTCTTTTGATTGAGGGTTTTGAAACAGTCTTTTTGATAAATCTGCAAGTGGATATTTGGAGCGAATTGTGGCCTATGGTTTAAAAGGAAATATCTTCACATAAAAGCTAGACAGAAGCTTTCTGAGAAACTTCTTTGTGATATGTGCGTTCATCTCACCGGGTTGAATCTTTCCTTTCATCGAGCAATATTGAAACACCCTTTTTTTTGAATCTGAAATAGATATTTGGAGCGATTGTGTCCTATGGTAGTAAAGGCAATATTTTCACAGAAAAACTAGACAGAAGCATTCTGCAAAACTTCCTCGTGATGTGTTCATTTATCTCACCAAATTGAACCATTCTTTTCCTTGAGCAGATTTGATACACTCTTTTTGTAGAATGTGCAAGTGAATATTTGGAACGCTTTGATGAGTTTGACGGAAAAGGAAATACCTTCACATATAAACGAGACAGAAGCATTCTGAGAAACTTCTTTCTGATATGTGCATTCAACTCACAGAGTTGAACCTTTCTTTTGATTCAGCAGTTTTGAAACACACTTTTTGAAGGATCTGTAAGTGGATATTTGGAGTGCTTAGGGGTCGATGCTAGAAAGGAAATATCTCCACATAAAAACTTGATGGAAGCATTCTGAGAAACTTCTTTGTGATGTGTGCATTCATCAGAGAGAGTTTAACATTTCTTTTGACTGAGCAGTTTTGAAACTCTCTTTTTGTAGAATCTGCAAGTGGACATTTGGAGCCACTTGAGGCCTATTGTGGAAAAGGGAATAAATTCACATAAAAGCTACACGGAAGCATTCTGACAAACTTCTTTGTGATGTGCACATTCATCTCACAGATTGAAAATTTCTTTTGATTGAGCAGTTTTGAAATGCTCTTTTCGGAGAATCAGCCAGTGGATATTTGGAGCACTTTGAGGACTATGGTGGAAAAGGAAATATCTTCACATAAAAACTAGAGGAAACATTCTGAGAAACTTATTTGTGATGTGTGCATTCCTCTCACAGAGTTGAACATTTCTTTTGATTAAGCAGTTTTGAAACACTCTTTTGTGGAATCTGCTAGAGGATATTTGGAGTGCTTTGAGGCCTATGGAGGAAAAGGAAATATCTTCACTTAAAAACTAGACAGAAGCATTCTGAGAAACTTCTTTGTGATGTTTGCATTCATCTCACAGGGTTGAAATTTTCTTTTGATTGAGAAGTTTTGAGACACTCTTTTTGTAGAATCTGCCTGTGGATAATAGGAGCGCTTTGGGGCATATTTTGGAAAAGGAAATACCTTCACATAAATAGTAGACAGAAGCATTCTGAGAAACTTCTTTGTGACGTGTGCATATATATCACAGAGTTGAACCTTTCTTTTCATTTAGCCTTTTGAAACACTCTTTTTCTAGAATCTGCAAGTGAATATTTGGAGCGCTTTGCGGCCTATGGTGGAAAATAAATATCTTCACATAAAAACTAGACAGAAGCAATCTGAGAAACTACTTTGTGATGTGTGCATTCATCTCACAGAGTTGAACCTTTCTTTTGATTGAGCAGTTTTGAAACACTCTTTTTGTTGTATATGCAAGTGGATATTTGGAGCGATTTGTGGTCTATGGTGGAAAAGGAAATATCTTCACGTAAAAACTAGACAGAAGCACTCTGAGAAACTTCCTTGTGATGTGTGCATTCATCTCACCAAGCGGAACCATTCTTTTGATGGAGCTGTTTTGAAATACTCTTTTTGTAGAATCTGCAAGTGAATATTTGGAGTGCTTTCAGGCCTGTGGTGGAAAAGGAAATATCTTCACATAAAAACTAGACAGAAGCATTCGGAGAAACTTCTTTTTAGTGTGTGCATTCATCTCACAGTGTTGAAACTTTCTTTTGATTGAGGGTTTTGAAACAGTCTTTTTGATAAATCTGCAAGTGGATATTTGGAGCGAATTGTGGCCTATGGTTTAAAAGGAAATATCTTCACATAAAAGCTAGACAGAAGCTTTCTGAGAAACTTCTTTGTGATATGTGCGTTCATCTCACCGGGTTGAATCTTTCCTTTCATCGAGCAATATTGAAACACCCTTTTTTTTGAATCTGAAATAGATATTTGGAGCGATTGTGTCCTATGGTAGTAAAGGCAATATTTTCACAGAAAAACTAGACAGAAGCATTCTGCAAAACTTCCTCGTGATGTGTTCATTTATCTCACCAAATTGAACCATTCTTTTCCTTGAGCAGATTTGATACACTCTTTTTGTAGAATGTGCAAGTGAATATTTGGAACGCTTTGATGAGTTTGACGGAAAAGGAAATACCTTCACATATAAACGAGACAGAAGCATTCTGAGAAACTTCTTTCTGATATGTGCATTCAACTCACAGAGTTGAACCTTTCTTTTGATTCAGCAGTTTTGAAACACACTTTTTGAAGGATCTGTAAGTGGATATTTGGAGTGCTTAGGGGTCGATGCTAGAAAGGAAATATCTCCACATAAAAACTTGATGGAAGCATTCTGAGAAACTTCTTTGTGATGTGTGCATTCATCAGAGAGAGTTTAACATTTCTTTTGACTGAGCAGTTTTGAAACTCTCTTTTTGTAGAATCTGCAAGTGGACATTTGGAGCCACTTGAGGCCTATTGTGGAAAAGGGAATAAATTCACATAAAAGCTACACGGAAGCATTCTGACAAACTTCTTTGTGATGTGCACATTCATCTCACAGATTGAAAATTTCTTTTGATTGAGCAGTTTTGAAATGCTCTTTTCGGAGAATCAGCCAGTGGATATTTGGAGCACTTTGAGGACTATGGTGGAAAAGGAAATATCTTCACATAAAAACTAGAGGAAACATTCTGAGAAACTTATTTGTGATGTGTGCATTCCTCTCACAGAGTTGAACATTTCTTTTGATTAAGCAGTTTTGAAACACTCTTTTGTGGAATCTGCTAGAGGATATTTGGAGCGCTTTGAGGCCTATGGAGGAAAAGGAAATATCTTCACTTAAAAACTAGACAGAAGCATTCTGAGAAACTTCTTTGTGATGTTTGCATTCATCTCACAGGGTTGAAATTTTCTTTTGATTGAGAAGTTTTGAGACACTCTTTTTGTAGAATCTGCCTGTGGATAATAGGAGCGCTTTGGGGCATATTTTGGAAAAGGAAATACCTTCACATAAATAGTAGACAGAAGCATTCTGAGAAACTTCTTTGTGACGTGTGCATATATATCACAGAGTTGAACCTTTCTTTTCATTTAGCCTTTTGAAACACTCTTTTTCTAGAATCTGCAAGTGAATATTTGGAGCGCTTTGCGGCCTATGGTGGAAAATAAATATCTTCACATAAAAACTAGACAGAAGCAATCTGAGAAACTACTTTGTGATGTGTGCATTCATCTCACAGAGTTGAACCTTTCTTTTGATTGAGCAGTTTTGAAACACTCTTTTTGTTGTATATGCAAGTGGATATTTGGAGCGATTTGTGGTCTATGGTGGAAAAGGAAATATCTTCACGTAAAAACTAGACAGAAGCACTCTGAGAAACTTCTTTGTGATGTGTGCATTCATCTCACCAAGCGGAACCATTCTTTTGATGGAGCTGTTTTGAAATACTCTTTTTGTAGAATCTGCAAGTGAATATTTGGAGTGCTTTCAGGCCTGTGGTGGAAAAGGAAATATCTTCACATAAAAACTAGACAGAAGCATTCGGAGAAACTTCTTTTTAGTGTGTGCATTCATCTCACAGTGTTGAAACTTTCTTTTGATTGAGGGTTTTGAAACAGTCTTTTTGATAAATCTGCAAGTGGATATTTGGAGCGAATTGTGGCCTATGGTTTAAAAGGAAATATCTTCACATAAAAGCTAGACAGAAGCTTTCTGAGAAACTTCTTTGTGATATGTGCGTTCATCTCACCGGGTTGAATCTTTCCTTTCATCGAGCAATATTGAAACACCCTTTTTTTTGAATCTGAAATAGATATTTGGAGCGATTGTGTCCTATGGTAGTAAAGGCAATATTTTCACAGAAAAACTAGACAGAAGCATTCTGCAAAACTTCCTCGTGATGTGTTCATTTATCTCACCAAATTGAACCATTCTTTTCCTTGAGCAGATTTGATACACTCTTTTTGTAGAATGTGCAAGTGAATATTTGGAACGCTTTGATGAGTTTGACGGAAAAGGAAATACCTTCACATATAAACGAGACAGAAGCATTCTGAGAAACTTCTTTCTGATATGTGCATTCAACTCACAGAGTTGAACCTTTCTTTTGATTCAGCAGTTTTGAAACACACTTTTTGAAGGATCTGTAAGTGGATATTTGGAGTGCTTAGGGGTCGATGCTAGAAAGGAAATATCTCCACATAAAAACTTGATGGAAGCATTCTGAGAAACTTCTTTGTGATGTGTGCATTCATCAGAGAGAGTTTAACATTTCTTTTGACTGAGCAGTTTTGAAACTCTCTTTTTGTAGAATCTGCAAGTGGACATTTGGAGCCACTTGAGGCCTATTGTGGAAAAGGGAATAAATTCACATAAAAGCTACACGGAAGCATTCTGACAAACTTCTTTGTGATGTGCACATTCATCTCACAGATTGAAAATTTCTTTTGATTGAGCAGTTTTGAAATGCTCTTTTCGGAGAATCAGCCAGTGGATATTTGGAGCACTTTGAGGACTATGGTGGAAAAGGAAATATCTTCACATAAAAACTAGAGGAAACATTCTGAGAAACTTATTTGTGATGTGTGCATTCCTCTCACAGAGTTGAACATTTCTTTTGATTAAGCAGTTTTGAAACACTCTTTTGTGGAATCTGCTAGAGGATATTTGGAGCGCTTTGAGGCCTATGGAGGAAAAGGAAATATCTTCACTTAAAAACTAGACAGAAGCATTCTGAGAAACTTCTTTGTGATGTTTGCATTCATCTCACAGGGTTGAAATTTTCTTTTGATTGAGAAGTTTTGAGACACTCTTTTTGTAGAATCTGCCTGTGGATAATAGGAGCGCTTTGGGGCATATTTTGGAAAAGGAAATACCTTCACATAAATAGTAGACAGAAGCATTCTGAGAAACTTCTTTGTGACGTGTGCATATATATCACAGAGTTGAACCTTTCTTTTCATTTAGCCTTTTGAAACACTCTTTTTCTAGAATCTGCAAGTGAATATTTGGAGCGCTTTGCGGCCTATGGTGGAAAATAAATATCTTCACATAAAAACTAGACAGAAGCAATCTGAGAAACTACTTTGTGATGTGTGCATTCATCTCACAGAGTTGAACCTTTCTTTTGATTGAGCAGTTTTGAAACACTCTTTTTGTTGTATATGCGAGTGGATATTTGGAGCGATTTGTGGTCTATGGTGGAAAAGGAAATATCTTCACGTAAAAACTAGACAGAAGCACTCTGAGAAACTTCTTTGTGATGTGTGCATTCATCTCACCAAGCGGAACCATTCTTTTGATGGAGCTGTTTTGAAATACTCTTTTTGTAGAATCTGCAAGTGAATATTTGGAGTGCTTTCAGGCCTGTGGTGGAAAAGGAAATATCTTCACATAAAAACTAGACAGAAGCATTCGGAGAAACTTCTTTTTAGTGTGTGCATTCATCTCACAGTGTTGAAACTTTCTTTTGATTGAGGGTTTTGAAACAGTCTTTTTGATAAATCTGCAAGTGGATATTTGGAGCGAATTGTGGCCTATGGTTTAAAAGGAAATATCTTCACATAAAAGCTAGACAGAAGCTTTCTGAGAAACTTCTTTGTGATATGTGCGTTCATCTCACCGGGTTGAATCTTTCCTTTCATCGAGCAATATTGAAACACCCTTTTTTTTGAATCTGAAATAGATATTTGGAGCGATTGTGTCCTATGGTAGTAAAGGCAATATTTTCACAGAAAAACTAGACAGAAGCATTCTGCAAAACTTCCTCGTGATGTGTTCATTTATCTCACCAAATTGAACCATTCTTTTCCTTGAGCAGATTTGATACACTCTTTTTGTAGAATGTGCAAGTGAATATTTGGAACGCTTTGATGAGTTTGACGGAAAAGGAAATACCTTCACATATAAACGAGACAGAAGCATTCTGAGAAACTTCTTTCTGATATGTGCATTCAACTCACAGAGTTGAACCTTTCTTTTGATTCAGCAGTTTTGAAACACACTTTTTGAAGGATCTGTAAGTGGATATTTGGAGTGCTTAGGGGTCGATGCTAGAAAGGAAATATCTCCACATAAAAACTTGATGGAAGCATTCTGAGAAACTTCTTTGTGATGTGTGCATTCATCAGAGAGAGTTTAACATTTCTTTTGACTGAGCAGTTTTGAAACTCTCTTTTTGTAGAATCTGCAAGTGGACATTTGGAGCCACTTGAGGCCTATTGTGGAAAAGGGAATAAATTCACATAAAAGCTACACGGAAGCATTCTGACAAACTTCTTTGTGATGTGCACATTCATCTCACAGATTGAAAATTTCTTTTGATTGAGCAGTTTTGAAATGCTCTTTTCGGAGAATCAGCCAGTGGATATTTGGAGCACTTTGAGGACTATGGTGGAAAAGGAAATATCTTCACATAAAAACTAGAGGAAACATTCTGAGAAACTTATTTGTGATGTGTGCATTCCTCTCACAGAGTTGAACATTTCTTTTGATTAAGCAGTTTTGAAACACTCTTTTGTGGAATCTGCTAGAGGATATTTGGAGCGCTTTGAGGCCTATGGAGGAAAAGGAAATATCTTCACTTAAAAACTAGACAGAAGCATTCTGAGAAACTTCTTTGTGATGTTTGCATTCATCTCACAGGGTTGAAATTTTCTTTTGATTGAGAAGTTTTGAGACACTCTTTTTGTAGAATCTGCCTGTGGATAATAGGAGCGCTTTGGGGCATATTTTGGAAAAGGAAATACCTTCACATAAATAGTAGACAGAAGCATTCTGAGAAACTTCTTTGTGACGTGTGCATATATATCACAGAGTTGAACCTTTCTTTTCATTTAGCCTTTTGAAACACTCTTTTTCTAGAATCTGCAAGTGAATATTTGGAGCGCTTTGCGGCCTATGGTGGAAAATAAATATCTTCACATAAAAACTAGACAGAAGCAATCTGAGAAACTACTTTGTGATGTGTGCATTCATCTCACAGAGTTGAACCTTTCTTTTGATTGAGCAGTTTTGAAACACTCTTTTTGTTGTATATGCAAGTGGATATTTGGAGCGATTTGTGGTCTATGGTGGAAAAGGAAATATCTTCACGTAAAAACTAGACAGAAGCACTCTGAGAAACTTCTTTGTGATGTGTGCATTCATCTCACCAAGCGGAACCATTCTTTTGATGGAGCTGTTTTGAAATACTCTTTTTGTAGAATCTGCAAGTGAATATTTGGAGTGCTTTCAGGCCTGTGGTGGAAAAGGAAATATCTTCACATAAAAACTAGACAGAAGCATTCGGAGAAACTTCTTTTTAGTGTGTGCATTCATCTCACAGTGTTGAAACTTTCTTTTGATTGAGGGTTTTGAAACAGTCTTTTTGATAAATCTGCAAGTGGATATTTGGAGCGAATTGTGGCCTATGGTTTAAAAGGAAATATCTTCACATAAAAGCTAGACAGAAGCTTTCTGAGAAACTTCTTTGTGATATGTGCGTTCATCTCACCGGGTTGAATCTTTCCTTTCATCGAGCAATATTGAAACACCCTTTTTTTTGAATCTGAAATAGATATTTGGAGCGATTGTGTCCTATGGTAGTAAAGGCAATATTTTCACAGAAAAACTAGACAGAAGCATTCTGCAAAACTTCCTCGTGATGTGTTCATTTATCTCACCAAATTGAACCATTCTTTTCCTTGAGCAGATTTGATACACTCTTTTTGTAGAATGTGCAAGTGAATATTTGGAACGCTTTGATGAGTTTGACGGAAAAGGAAATACCTTCACATATAAACGAGACAGAAGCATTCTGAGAAACTTCTTTCTGATATGTGCATTCAACTCACAGAGTTGAACCTTTCTTTTGATTCAGCAGTTTTGAAACACACTTTTTGAAGGATCTGTAAGTGGATATTTGGAGTGCTTAGGGGTCGATGCTAGAAAGGAAATATCTCCACATAAAAACTTGATGGAAGCATTCTGAGAAACTTCTTTGTGATGTGTGCATTCATCAGAGAGAGTTTAACATTTCTTTTGACTGAGCAGTTTTGAAACTCTCTTTTTGTAGAATCTGCAAGTGGACATTTGGAGCCACTTGAGGCCTATTGTGGAAAAGGGAATAAATTCACATAAAAGCTACACGGAAGCATTCTGACAAACTTCTTTGTGATGTGCACATTCATCTCACAGATTGAAAATTTCTTTTGATTGAGCAGTTTTGAAATGCTCTTTTCGGAGAATCAGCCAGTGGATATTTGGAGCACTTTGAGGACTATGGTGGAAAAGGAAATATCTTCACATAAAAACTAGAGGAAACATTCTGAGAAACTTATTTGTGATGTGTGCATTCCTCTCACAGAGTTGAACATTTCTTTTGATTAAGCAGTTTTGAAACACTCTTTTGTGGAATCTGCTAGAGGATATTTGGAGCGCTTTGAGGCCTATGGAGGAAAAGGAAATATCTTCACTTAAAAACTAGACAGAAGCATTCTGAGAAACTTCTTTGTGATGTTTGCATTCATCTCACAGGGTTGAAATTTTCTTTTGATTGAGAAGTTTTGAGACACTCTTTTTGTAGAATCTGCCTGTGGATAATAGGAGCGCTTTGGGGCATATTTTGGAAAAGGAAATACCTTCACATAAATAGTAGACAGAAGCATTCTGAGAAACTTCTTTGTGACGTGTGCATATATATCACAGAGTTGAACCTTTCTTTTCATTTAGCCTTTTGAAACACTCTTTTTCTAGAATCTGCAAGTGAATATTTGGAGCGCTTTGCGGCCTATGGTGGAAAATAAATATCTTCACATAAAAACTAGACAGAAGCAATCTGAGAAACTACTTTGTGATGTGTGCATTCATCTCACAGAGTTGAACCTTTCTTTTGATTGAGCAGTTTTGAAACACTCTTTTTGTTGTATATGCAAGTGGATATTTGGAGCGATTTGTGGTCTATGGTGGAAAAGGAAATATCTTCACGTAAAAACTAGACAGAAGCACTCTGAGAAACTTCTTTGTGATGTGTGCATTCATCTCACCAAGCGGAACCATTCTTTTGATGGAGCTGTTTTGAAATACTCTTTTTGTAGAATCTGCAAGTGAATATTTGGAGTGCTTTCAGGCCTGTGGTGGAAAAGGAAATATCTTCACATAAAAACTAGACAGAAGCATTCGGAGAAACTTCTTTTTAGTGTGTGCATTCATCTCACAGTGTTGAAACTTTCTTTTGATTGAGGGTTTTGAAACAGTCTTTTTGATAAATCTGCAAGTGGATATTTGGAGCGAATTGTGGCCTATGGTTTAAAAGGAAATATCTTCACATAAAAGCTAGACAGAAGCTTTCTGAGAAACTTCTTTGTGATATGTGCGTTCATCTCACCGGGTTGAATCTTTCCTTTCATCGAGCAATATTGAAACACCCTTTTTTTTGAATCTGAAATAGATATTTGGAGCGATTGTGTCCTATGGTAGTAAAGGCAATATTTTCACAGAAAAACTAGACAGAAGCATTCTGCAAAACTTCCTCGTGATGTGTTCATTTATCTCACCAAATTGAACCATTCTTTTCCTTGAGCAGATTTGATACACTCTTTTTGTAGAATGTGCAAGTGAATATTTGGAACGCTTTGATGAGTTTGACGGAAAAGGAAATACCTTCACATATAAACGAGACAGAAGCATTCTGAGAAACTTCTTTCTGATATGTGCATTCAACTCACAGAGTTGAACCTTTCTTTTGATTCAGCAGTTTTGAAACACACTTTTTGAAGGATCTGTAAGTGGATATTTGGAGTGCTTAGGGGTCGATGCTAGAAAGGAAATATCTCCACATAAAAACTTGATGGAAGCATTCTGAGAAACTTCTTTGTGATGTGTGCATTCATCAGAGAGAGTTTAACATTTCTTTTGACTGAGCAGTTTTGAAACTCTCTTTTTGTAGAATCTGCAAGTGGACATTTGGAGCCACTTGAGGCCTATTGTGGAAAAGGGAATAAATTCACATAAAAGCTACACGGAAGCATTCTGACAAACTTCTTTGTGATGTGCACATTCATCTCACAGATTGAAAATTTCTTTTGATTGAGCAGTTTTGAAATGCTCTTTTCGGAGAATCAGCCAGTGGATATTTGGAGCACTTTGAGGACTATGGTGGAAAAGGAAATATCTTCACATAAAAACTAGAGGAAACATTCTGAGAAACTTATTTGTGATGTGTGCATTCCTCTCACAGAGTTGAACATTTCTTTTGATTAAGCAGTTTTGAAACACTCTTTTGTGGAATCTGCTAGAGGATATTTGGAGCGCTTTGAGGCCTATGGAGGAAAAGGAAATATCTTCACTTAAAAACTAGACAGAAGCATTCTGAGAAACTTCTTTGTGATGTTTGCATTCATCTCACAGGGTTGAAATTTTCTTTTGATTGAGAAGTTTTGAGACACTCTTTTTGTAGAATCTGCCTGTGGATAATAGGAGCGCTTTGGGGCATATTTTGGAAAAGGAAATACCTTCACATAAATAGTAGACAGAAGCATTCTGAGAAACTTCTTTGTGACGTGTGCATATATATCACAGAGTTGAACCTTTCTTTTCATTTAGCCTTTTGAAACACTCTTTTTCTAGAATCTGCAAGTGAATATTTGGAGCGCTTTGCGGCCTATGGTGGAAAATAAATATCTTCACATAAAAACTAGACAGAAGCAATCTGAGAAACTACTTTGTGATGTGTGCATTCATCTCACAGAGTTGAACCTTTCTTTTGATTGAGCAGTTTTGAAACACTCTTTTTGTTGTATATGCAAGTGGATATTTGGAGCGATTTGTGGTCTATGGTGGAAAAGGAAATATCTTCACGTAAAAACTAGACAGAAGCACTCTGAGAAACTTCTTTGTGATGTGTGCATTCATCTCACCAAGCGGAACCATTCTTTTGATGGAGCTGTTTTGAAATACTCTTTTTGTAGAATCTGCAAGTGAATATTTGGAGTGCTTTCAGGCCTGTGGTGGAAAAGGAAATATCTTCACATAAAAACTAGACAGAAGCATTCGGAGAAACTTCTTTTTAGTGTGTGCATTCATCTCACAGTGTTGAAACTTTCTTTTGATTGAGGGTTTTGAAACAGTCTTTTTGATAAATCTGCAAGTGGATATTTGGAGCGAATTGTGGCCTATGGTTTAAAAGGAAATATCTTCACATAAAAGCTAGACAGAAGCTTTCTGAGAAACTTCTTTGTGATATGTGCGTTCATCTCACCGGGTTGAATCTTTCCTTTCATCGAGCAATATTGAAACACCCTTTTTTTTGAATCTGAAATAGATATTTGGAGCGATTGTGTCCTATGGTAGTAAAGGCAATATTTTCACAGAAAAACTAGACAGAAGCATTCTGCAAAACTTCCTCGTGATGTGTTCATTTATCTCACCAAATTGAACCATTCTTTTCCTTGAGCAGATTTGATACACTCTTTTTGTAGAATGTGCAAGTGAATATTTGGAACGCTTTGATGAGTTTGACGGAAAAGGAAATACCTTCACATATAAACGAGACAGAAGCATTCTGAGAAACTTCTTTCTGATATGTGCATTCAACTCACAGAGTTGAACCTTTCTTTTGATTCAGCAGTTTTGAAACACACTTTTTGAAGGATCTGTAAGTGGATATTTGGAGTGCTTAGGGGTCGATGCTAGAAAGGAAATATCTCCACATAAAAACTTGATGGAAGCATTCTGAGAAACTTCTTTGTGATGTGTGCATTCATCAGAGAGAGTTTAACATTTCTTTTGACTGAGCAGTTTTGAAACTCTCTTTTTGTAGAATCTGCAAGTGGACATTTGGAGCCACTTGAGGCCTATTGTGGAAAAGGGAATAAATTCACATAAAAGCTACACGGAAGCATTCTGACAAACTTCTTTGTGATGTGCACATTCATCTCACAGATTGAAAATTTCTTTTGATTGAGCAGTTTTGAAATGCTCTTTTCGGAGAATCAGCCAGTGGATATTTGGAGCACTTTGAGGACTATGGTGGAAAAGGAAATATCTTCACATAAAAACTAGAGGAAACATTCTGAGAAACTTATTTGTGATGTGTGCATTCCTCTCACAGAGTTGAACATTTCTTTTGATTAAGCAGTTTTGAAACACTCTTTTGTGGAATCTGCTAGAGGATATTTGGAGCGCTTTGAGGCCTATGGAGGAAAAGGAAATATCTTCACTTAAAAACTAGACAGAAGCATTCTGAGAAACTTCTTTGTGATGTTTGCATTCATCTCACAGGGTTGAAATTTTCTTTTGATTGAGAAGTTTTGAGACACTCTTTTTGTAGAATCTGCCTGTGGATAATAGGAGCGCTTTGGGGCATATTTTGGAAAAGGAAATACCTTCACATAAATAGTAGACAGAAGCATTCTGAGAAACTTCTTTGTGACGTGTGCATATATATCACAGAGTTGAACCTTTCTTTTCATTTAGCCTTTTGAAACACTCTTTTTCTAGAATCTGCAAGTGAATATTTGGAGCGCTTTGCGGCCTATGGTGGAAAATAAATATCTTCACATAAAAACTAGACAGAAGCAATCTGAGAAACTACTTTGTGATGTGTGCATTCATCTCACAGAGTTGAACCTTTCTTTTGATTGAGCAGTTTTGAAACACTCTTTTTGTTGTATATGCGAGTGGATATTTGGAGCGATTTGTGGTCTATGGTGGAAAAGGAAATATCTTCACGTAAAAACTAGACAGAAGCACTCTGAGAAACTTCCTTGTGATGTGTGCATTCATCTCACCAAGCGGAACCATTCTTTTGATGGAGCTGTTTTGAAATACTCTTTTTGTAGAATCTGCAAGTGAATATTTGGAGTGCTTTCAGGCCTGTGGTGGAAAAGGAAATATCTTCACATAAAAACTAGACAGAAGCATTCGGAGAAACTTCTTTTTAGTGTGTGCATTCATCTCACAGTGTTGAAACTTTCTTTTGATTGAGGGTTTTGAAACAGTCTTTTTGATAAATCTGCAAGTGGATATTTGGAGCGAATTGTGGCCTATGGTTTAAAAGGAAATATCTTCACATAAAAGCTAGACAGAAGCTTTCTGAGAAACTTCTTTGTGATATGTGCGTTCATCTCACCGGGTTGAATCTTTCCTTTCATCGAGCAATATTGAAACACCCTTTTTTTTGAATCTGAAATAGATATTTGGAGCGATTGTGTCCTATGGTAGTAAAGGCAATATTTTCACAGAAAAACTAGACAGAAGCATTCTGCAAAACTTCCTCGTGATGTGTTCATTTATCTCACCAAATTGAACCATTCTTTTCCTTGAGCAGATTTGATACACTCTTTTTGTAGAATGTGCAAGTGAATATTTGGAACGCTTTGATGAGTTTGACGGAAAAGGAAATACCTTCACATATAAACGAGACAGAAGCATTCTGAGAAACTTCTTTCTGATATGTGCATTCAACTCACAGAGTTGAACCTTTCTTTTGATTCAGCAGTTTTGAAACACACTTTTTGAAGGATCTGTAAGTGGATATTTGGAGTGCTTAGGGGTCGATGCTAGAAAGGAAATATCTCCACATAAAAACTTGATGGAAGCATTCTGAGAAACTTCTTTGTGATGTGTGCATTCATCAGAGAGAGTTTAACATTTCTTTTGACTGAGCAGTTTTGAAACTCTCTTTTTGTAGAATCTGCAAGTGGACATTTGGAGCCACTTGAGGCCTATTGTGGAAAAGGGAATAAATTCACATAAAAGCTACACGGAAGCATTCTGACAAACTTCTTTGTGATGTGCACATTCATCTCACAGATTGAAAATTTCTTTTGATTGAGCAGTTTTGAAATGCTCTTTTCGGAGAATCAGCCAGTGGATATTTGGAGCACTTTGAGGACTATGGTGGAAAAGGAAATATCTTCACATAAAAACTAGAGGAAACATTCTGAGAAACTTATTTGTGATGTGTGCATTCCTCTCACAGAGTTGAACATTTCTTTTGATTAAGCAGTTTTGAAACACTCTTTTGTGGAATCTGCTAGAGGATATTTGGAGCGCTTTGAGGCCTATGGAGGAAAAGGAAATATCTTCACTTAAAAACTAGACAGAAGCATTCTGAGAAACTTCTTTGTGATGTTTGCATTCATCTCACAGGGTTGAAATTTTCTTTTGATTGAGAAGTTTTGAGACACTCTTTTTGTAGAATCTGCCTGTGGATAATAGGAGCGCTTTGGGGCATATTTTGGAAAAGGAAATACCTTCACATAAATAGTAGACAGAAGCATTCTGAGAAACTTCTTTGTGACGTGTGCATATATATCACAGAGTTGAACCTTTCTTTTCATTTAGCCTTTTGAAACACTCTTTTTCTAGAATCTGCAAGTGAATATTTGGAGCGCTTTGCGGCCTATGGTGGAAAATAAATATCTTCACATAAAAACTAGACAGAAGCAATCTGAGAAACTACTTTGTGATGTGTGCATTCATCTCACAGAGTTGAACCTTTCTTTTGATTGAGCAGTTTTGAAACACTCTTTTTGTTGTATATGCAAGTGGATATTTGGAGCGATTTGTGGTCTATGGTGGAAAAGGAAATATCTTCACGTAAAAACTAGACAGAAGCACTCTGAGAAACTTCTTTGTGATGTGTGCATTCATCTCACCAAGCGGAACCATTCTTTTGATGGAGCTGTTTTGAAATACTCTTTTTGTAGAATCTGCAAGTGAATATTTGGAGTGCTTTCAGGCCTGTGGTGGAAAAGGAAATATCTTCACATAAAAACTAGACAGAAGCATTCGGAGAAACTTCTTTTTAGTGTGTGCATTCATCTCACAGTGTTGAAACTTTCTTTTGATTGAGGGTTTTGAAACAGTCTTTTTGATAAATCTGCAAGTGGATATTTGGAGCGAATTGTGGCCTATGGTTTAAAAGGAAATATCTTCACATAAAAGCTAGACAGAAGCTTTCTGAGAAACTTCTTTGTGATATGTGCGTTCATCTCACCGGGTTGAATCTTTCCTTTCATCGAGCAATATTGAAACACCCTTTTTTTTGAATCTGAAATAGATATTTGGAGCGATTGTGTCCTATGGTAGTAAAGGCAATATTTTCACAGAAAAACTAGACAGAAGCATTCTGCAAAACTTCCTCGTGATGTGTTCATTTATCTCACCAAATTGAACCATTCTTTTCCTTGAGCAGATTTGATACACTCTTTTTGTAGAATGTGCAAGTGAATATTTGGAACGCTTTGATGAGTTTGACGGAAAAGGAAATACCTTCACATATAAACGAGACAGAAGCATTCTGAGAAACTTCTTTCTGATATGTGCATTCAACTCACAGAGTTGAACCTTTCTTTTGATTCAGCAGTTTTGAAACACACTTTTTGAAGGATCTGTAAGTGGATATTTGGAGTGCTTAGGGGTCGATGCTAGAAAGGAAATATCTCCACATAAAAACTTGATGGAAGCATTCTGAGAAACTTCTTTGTGATGTGTGCATTCATCAGAGAGAGTTTAACATTTCTTTTGACTGAGCAGTTTTGAAACTCTCTTTTTGTAGAATCTGCAAGTGGACATTTGGAGCCACTTGAGGCCTATTGTGGAAAAGGGAATAAATTCACATAAAAGCTACACGGAAGCATTCTGACAAACTTCTTTGTGATGTGCACATTCATCTCACAGATTGAAAATTTCTTTTGATTGAGCAGTTTTGAAATGCTCTTTTCGGAGAATCAGCCAGTGGATATTTGGAGCACTTTGAGGACTATGGTGGAAAAGGAAATATCTTCACATAAAAACTAGAGGAAACATTCTGAGAAACTTATTTGTGATGTGTGCATTCCTCTCACAGAGTTGAACATTTCTTTTGATTAAGCAGTTTTGAAACACTCTTTTGTGGAATCTGCTAGAGGATATTTGGAGCGCTTTGAGGCCTATGGAGGAAAAGGAAATATCTTCACTTAAAAACTAGACAGAAGCATTCTGAGAAACTTCTTTGTGATGTTTGCATTCATCTCACAGGGTTGAAATTTTCTTTTGATTGAGAAGTTTTGAGACACTCTTTTTGTAGAATCTGCCTGTGGATAATAGGAGCGCTTTGGGGCATATTTTGGAAAAGGAAATACCTTCACATAAATAGTAGACAGAAGCATTCTGAGAAACTTCTTTGTGACGTGTGCATATATATCACAGAGTTGAACCTTTCTTTTCATTTAGCCTTTTGAAACACTCTTTTTCTAGAATCTGCAAGTGAATATTTGGAGCGCTTTGCGGCCTATGGTGGAAAATAAATATCTTCACATAAAAACTAGACAGAAGCAATCTGAGAAACTACTTTGTGATGTGTGCATTCATCTCACAGAGTTGAACCTTTCTTTTGATTGAGCAGTTTTGAAACACTCTTTTTGTTGTATATGCAAGTGGATATTTGGAGCGATTTGTGGTCTATGGTGGAAAAGGAAATATCTTCACGTAAAAACTAGACAGAAGCACTCTGAGAAACTTCCTTGTGATGTGTGCATTCATCTCACCAAGCGGAACCATTCTTTTGATGGAGCTGTTTTGAAATACTCTTTTTGTAGAATCTGCAAGTGAATATTTGGAGTGCTTTCAGGCCTGTGGTGGAAAAGGAAATATCTTCACATAAAAACTAGACAGAAGCATTCGGAGAAACTTCTTTTTAGTGTGTGCATTCATCTCACAGTGTTGAAACTTTCTTTTGATTGAGGGTTTTGAAACAGTCTTTTTGATAAATCTGCAAGTGGATATTTGGAGCGAATTGTGGCCTATGGTTTAAAAGGAAATATCTTCACATAAAAGCTAGACAGAAGCTTTCTGAGAAACTTCTTTGTGATATGTGCGTTCATCTCACCGGGTTGAATCTTTCCTTTCATCGAGCAATATTGAAACACCCTTTTTTTTGAATCTGAAATAGATATTTGGAGCGATTGTGTCCTATGGTAGTAAAGGCAATATTTTCACAGAAAAACTAGACAGAAGCATTCTGCAAAACTTCCTCGTGATGTGTTCATTTATCTCACCAAATTGAACCATTCTTTTCCTTGAGCAGATTTGATACACTCTTTTTGTAGAATGTGCAAGTGAATATTTGGAACGCTTTGATGAGTTTGACGGAAAAGGAAATACCTTCACATATAAACGAGACAGAAGCATTCTGAGAAACTTCTTTCTGATATGTGCATTCAACTCACAGAGTTGAACCTTTCTTTTGATTCAGCAGTTTTGAAACACACTTTTTGAAGGATCTGTAAGTGGATATTTGGAGTGCTTAGGGGTCGATGCTAGAAAGGAAATATCTCCACATAAAAACTTGATGGAAGCATTCTGAGAAACTTCTTTGTGATGTGTGCATTCATCAGAGAGAGTTTAACATTTCTTTTGACTGAGCAGTTTTGAAACTCTCTTTTTGTAGAATCTGCAAGTGGACATTTGGAGCCACTTGAGGCCTATTGTGGAAAAGGGAATAAATTCACATAAAAGCTACACGGAAGCATTCTGACAAACTTCTTTGTGATGTGCACATTCATCTCACAGATTGAAAATTTCTTTTGATTGAGCAGTTTTGAAATGCTCTTTTCGGAGAATCAGCCAGTGGATATTTGGAGCACTTTGAGGACTATGGTGGAAAAGGAAATATCTTCACATAAAAACTAGAGGAAACATTCTGAGAAACTTATTTGTGATGTGTGCATTCCTCTCACAGAGTTGAACATTTCTTTTGATTAAGCAGTTTTGAAACACTCTTTTGTGGAATCTGCTAGAGGATATTTGGAGCGCTTTGAGGCCTATGGAGGAAAAGGAAATATCTTCACTTAAAAACTAGACAGAAGCATTCTGAGAAACTTCTTTGTGATGTTTGCATTCATCTCACAGGGTTGAAATTTTCTTTTGATTGAGAAGTTTTGAGACACTCTTTTTGTAGAATCTGCCTGTGGATAATAGGAGCGCTTTGGGGCATATTTTGGAAAAGGAAATACCTTCACATAAATAGTAGACAGAAGCATTCTGAGAAACTTCTTTGTGACGTGTGCATATATATCACAGAGTTGAACCTTTCTTTTCATTTAGCCTTTTGAAACACTCTTTTTCTAGAATCTGCAAGTGAATATTTGGAGCGCTTTGCGGCCTATGGTGGAAAATAAATATCTTCACATAAAAACTAGACAGAAGCAATCTGAGAAACTACTTTGTGATGTGTGCATTCATCTCACAGAGTTGAACCTTTCTTTTGATTGAGCAGTTTTGAAACACTCTTTTTGTTGTATATGCAAGTGGATATTTGGAGCGATTTGTGGTCTATGGTGGAAAAGGAAATATCTTCACGTAAAAACTAGACAGAAGCACTCTGAGAAACTTCTTTGTGATGTGTGCATTCATCTCACCAAGCGGAACCATTCTTTTGATGGAGCTGTTTTGAAATACTCTTTTTGTAGAATCTGCAAGTGAATATTTGGAGTGCTTTCAGGCCTGTGGTGGAAAAGGAAATATCTTCACATAAAAACTAGACAGAAGCATTCGGAGAAACTTCTTTTTAGTGTGTGCATTCATCTCACAGTGTTGAAACTTTCTTTTGATTGAGGGTTTTGAAACAGTCTTTTTGATAAATCTGCAAGTGGATATTTGGAGCGAATTGTGGCCTATGGTTTAAAAGGAAATATCTTCACATAAAAGCTAGACAGAAGCTTTCTGAGAAACTTCTTTGTGATATGTGCGTTCATCTCACCGGGTTGAATCTTTCCTTTCATCGAGCAATATTGAAACACCCTTTTTTTTGAATCTGAAATAGATATTTGGAGCGATTGTGTCCTATGGTAGTAAAGGCAATATTTTCACAGAAAAACTAGACAGAAGCATTCTGCAAAACTTCCTCGTGATGTGTTCATTTATCTCACCAAATTGAACCATTCTTTTCCTTGAGCAGATTTGATACACTCTTTTTGTAGAATGTGCAAGTGAATATTTGGAACGCTTTGATGAGTTTGACGGAAAAGGAAATACCTTCACATATAAACGAGACAGAAGCATTCTGAGAAACTTCTTTCTGATATGTGCATTCAACTCACAGAGTTGAACCTTTCTTTTGATTCAGCAGTTTTGAAACACACTTTTTGAAGGATCTGTAAGTGGATATTTGGAGTGCTTAGGGGTCGATGCTAGAAAGGAAATATCTCCACATAAAAACTTGATGGAAGCATTCTGAGAAACTTCTTTGTGATGTGTGCATTCATCAGAGAGAGTTTAACATTTCTTTTGACTGAGCAGTTTTGAAACTCTCTTTTTGTAGAATCTGCAAGTGGACATTTGGAGCCACTTGAGGCCTATTGTGGAAAAGGGAATAAATTCACATAAAAGCTACACGGAAGCATTCTGACAAACTTCTTTGTGATGTGCACATTCATCTCACAGATTGAAAATTTCTTTTGATTGAGCAGTTTTGAAATGCTCTTTTCGGAGAATCAGCCAGTGGATATTTGGAGCACTTTGAGGACTATGGTGGAAAAGGAAATATCTTCACATAAAAACTAGAGGAAACATTCTGAGAAACTTATTTGTGATGTGTGCATTCCTCTCACAGAGTTGAACATTTCTTTTGATTAAGCAGTTTTGAAACACTCTTTTGTGGAATCTGCTAGAGGATATTTGGAGCGCTTTGAGGCCTATGGAGGAAAAGGAAATATCTTCACTTAAAAACTAGACAGAAGCATTCTGAGAAACTTCTTTGTGATGTTTGCATTCATCTCACAGGGTTGAAATTTTCTTTTGATTGAGAAGTTTTGAGACACTCTTTTTGTAGAATCTGCCTGTGGATAATAGGAGCGCTTTGGGGCATATTTTGGAAAAGGAAATACCTTCACATAAATAGTAGACAGAAGCATTCTGAGAAACTTCTTTGTGACGTGTGCATATATATCACAGAGTTGAACCTTTCTTTTCATTTAGCCTTTTGAAACACTCTTTTTCTAGAATCTGCAAGTGAATATTTGGAGCGCTTTGCGGCCTATGGTGGAAAATAAATATCTTCACATAAAAACTAGACAGAAGCAATCTGAGAAACTACTTTGTGATGTGTGCATTCATCTCACAGAGTTGAACCTTTCTTTTGATTGAGCAGTTTTGAAACACTCTTTTTGTTGTATATGCAAGTGGATATTTGGAGCGATTTGTGGTCTATGGTGGAAAAGGAAATATCTTCACGTAAAAACTAGACAGAAGCACTCTGAGAAACTTCTTTGTGATGTGTGCATTCATCTCACCAAGCGGAACCATTCTTTTGATGGAGCTGTTTTGAAATACTCTTTTTGTAGAATCTGCAAGTGAATATTTGGAGTGCTTTCAGGCCTGTGGTGGAAAAGGAAATATCTTCACATAAAAACTAGACAGAAGCATTCGGAGAAACTTCTTTTTAGTGTGTGCATTCATCTCACAGTGTTGAAACTTTCTTTTGATTGAGGGTTTTGAAACAGTCTTTTTGATAAATCTGCAAGTGGATATTTGGAGCGAATTGTGGCCTATGGTTTAAAAGGAAATATCTTCACATAAAAGCTAGACAGAAGCTTTCTGAGAAACTTCTTTGTGATATGTGCGTTCATCTCACCGGGTTGAATCTTTCCTTTCATCGAGCAATATTGAAACACCCTTTTTTTTGAATCTGAAATAGATATTTGGAGCGATTGTGTCCTATGGTAGTAAAGGCAATATTTTCACAGAAAAACTAGACAGAAGCATTCTGCAAAACTTCCTCGTGATGTGTTCATTTATCTCACCAAATTGAACCATTCTTTTCCTTGAGCAGATTTGATACACTCTTTTTGTAGAATGTGCAAGTGAATATTTGGAACGCTTTGATGAGTTTGACGGAAAAGGAAATACCTTCACATATAAACGAGACAGAAGCATTCTGAGAAACTTCTTTCTGATATGTGCATTCAACTCACAGAGTTGAACCTTTCTTTTGATTCAGCAGTTTTGAAACACACTTTTTGAAGGATCTGTAAGTGGATATTTGGAGTGCTTAGGGGTCGATGCTAGAAAGGAAATATCTCCACATAAAAACTTGATGGAAGCATTCTGAGAAACTTCTTTGTGATGTGTGCATTCATCAGAGAGAGTTTAACATTTCTTTTGACTGAGCAGTTTTGAAACTCTCTTTTTGTAGAATCTGCAAGTGGACATTTGGAGCCACTTGAGGCCTATTGTGGAAAAGGGAATAAATTCACATAAAAGCTACACGGAAGCATTCTGACAAACTTCTTTGTGATGTGCACATTCATCTCACAGATTGAAAATTTCTTTTGATTGAGCAGTTTTGAAATGCTCTTTTCGGAGAATCAGCCAGTGGATATTTGGAGCACTTTGAGGACTATGGTGGAAAAGGAAATATCTTCACATAAAAACTAGAGGAAACATTCTGAGAAACTTATTTGTGATGTGTGCATTCCTCTCACAGAGTTGAACATTTCTTTTGATTAAGCAGTTTTGAAACACTCTTTTGTGGAATCTGCTAGAGGATATTTGGAGCGCTTTGAGGCCTATGGAGGAAAAGGAAATATCTTCACTTAAAAACTAGACAGAAGCATTCTGAGAAACTTCTTTGTGATGTTTGCATTCATCTCACAGGGTTGAAATTTTCTTTTGATTGAGAAGTTTTGAGACACTCTTTTTGTAGAATCTGCCTGTGGATAATAGGAGCGCTTTGGGGCATATTTTGGAAAAGGAAATACCTTCACATAAATAGTAGACAGAAGCATTCTGAGAAACTTCTTTGTGACGTGTGCATATATATCACAGAGTTGAACCTTTCTTTTCATTTAGCCTTTTGAAACACTCTTTTTCTAGAATCTGCAAGTGAATATTTGGAGCGCTTTGCGGCCTATGGTGGAAAATAAATATCTTCACATAAAAACTAGACAGAAGCAATCTGAGAAACTACTTTGTGATGTGTGCATTCATCTCACAGAGTTGAACCTTTCTTTTGATTGAGCAGTTTTGAAACACTCTTTTTGTTGTATATGCAAGTGGATATTTGGAGCGATTTGTGGTCTATGGTGGAAAAGGAAATATCTTCACGTAAAAACTAGACAGAAGCACTCTGAGAAACTTCCTTGTGATGTGTGCATTCATCTCACCAAGCGGAACCATTCTTTTGATGGAGCTGTTTTGAAATACTCTTTTTGTAGAATCTGCAAGTGAATATTTGGAGTGCTTTCAGGCCTGTGGTGGAAAAGGAAATATCTTCACATAAAAACTAGACAGAAGCATTCGGAGAAACTTCTTTTTAGTGTGTGCATTCATCTCACAGTGTTGAAACTTTCTTTTGATTGAGGGTTTTGAAACAGTCTTTTTGATAAATCTGCAAGTGGATATTTGGAGCGAATTGTGGCCTATGGTTTAAAAGGAAATATCTTCACATAAAAGCTAGACAGAAGCTTTCTGAGAAACTTCTTTGTGATATGTGCGTTCATCTCACCGGGTTGAATCTTTCCTTTCATCGAG
Organism: Homo sapiens; assembly: GCF_000001405.40. Taxonomy (NCBI): domain Eukaryota; kingdom Metazoa; phylum Chordata; class Mammalia; order Primates; family Hominidae; genus Homo; species Homo sapiens. Next base: position 28,993,741 of record NC_000020.11, read on the forward strand.
CAATATTGAAACACCCTTTTTTTTGAATCTGAAATAGATATTTGGAGCGATTGTGTCCTATGGTAGTAAAGGCAATATTTTCACAGAAAAACTAGACAGAAGCATTCTGCAAAACTTCCTCGTGATGTGTTCATTTATCTCACCAAATTGAACCATTCTTTTCCTTGAGCAGATTTGATACACTCTTTTTGTAGAATGTGCAAGTGAATATTTGGAACGCTTTGATGAGTTTGACGGAAAAGGAAATACCTTCACATATAAACGAGACAGAAGCATTCTGAGAAACTTCTTTCTGATATGTGCATTCAACTCACAGAGTTGAACCTTTCTTTTGATTCAGCAGTTTTGAAACACACTTTTTGAAGGATCTGTAAGTGGATATTTGGAGTGCTTAGGGGTCGATGCTAGAAAGGAAATATCTCCACATAAAAACTTGATGGAAGCATTCTGAGAAACTTCTTTGTGATGTGTGCATTCATCAGAGAGAGTTTAACATTTCTTTTGACTGAGCAGTTTTGAAACTCTCTTTTTGTAGAATCTGCAAGTGGACATTTGGAGCCACTTGAGGCCTATTGTGGAAAAGGGAATAAATTCACATAAAAGCTACACGGAAGCATTCTGACAAACTTCTTTGTGATGTGCACATTCATCTCACAGATTGAAAATTTCTTTTGATTGAGCAGTTTTGAAATGCTCTTTTCGGAGAATCAGCCAGTGGATATTTGGAGCACTTTGAGGACTATGGTGGAAAAGGAAATATCTTCACATAAAAACTAGAGGAAACATTCTGAGAAACTTATTTGTGATGTGTGCATTCCTCTCACAGAGTTGAACATTTCTTTTGATTAAGCAGTTTTGAAACACTCTTTTGTGGAATCTGCTAGAGGATATTTGGAGCGCTTTGAGGCCTATGGAGGAAAAGGAAATATCTTCACTTAAAAACTAGACAGAAGCATTCTGAGAAACTTCTTTGTGATGTTTGCATTCATCTCACAGGGTTGAAATTTTCTTTTGATTGAGAAGTTTTGAGACACTCTTTTTGTAGAATCTGCCTGTGGATAATAGGAGCGCTTTGGGGCATATTTTGGAAAAGGAAATACCTTCACATAAATAGTAGACAGAAGCATTCTGAGAAACTTCTTTGTGACGTGTGCATATATATCACAGAGTTGAACCTTTCTTTTCATTTAGCCTTTTGAAACACTCTTTTTCTAGAATCTGCAAGTGAATATTTGGAGCGCTTTGCGGCCTATGGTGGAAAATAAATATCTTCACATAAAAACTAGACAGAAGCAATCTGAGAAACTACTTTGTGATGTGTGCATTCATCTCACAGAGTTGAACCTTTCTTTTGATTGAGCAGTTTTGAAACACTCTTTTTGTTGTATATGCAAGTGGATATTTGGAGCGATTTGTGGTCTATGGTGGAAAAGGAAATATCTTCACGTAAAAACTAGACAGAAGCACTCTGAGAAACTTCCTTGTGATGTGTGCATTCATCTCACCAAGCGGAACCATTCTTTTGATGGAGCTGTTTTGAAATACTCTTTTTGTAGAATCTGCAAGTGAATATTTGGAGTGCTTTCAGGCCTGTGGTGGAAAAGGAAATATCTTCACATAAAAACTAGACAGAAGCATTCGGAGAAACTTCTTTTTAGTGTGTGCATTCATCTCACAGTGTTGAAACTTTCTTTTGATTGAGGGTTTTGAAACAGTCTTTTTGATAAATCTGCAAGTGGATATTTGGAGCGAATTGTGGCCTATGGTTTAAAAGGAAATATCTTCACATAAAAGCTAGACAGAAGCTTTCTGAGAAACTTCTTTGTGATATGTGCGTTCATCTCACCGGGTTGAATCTTTCCTTTCATCGAGCAATATTGAAACACCCTTTTTTTTGAATCTGAAATAGATATTTGGAGCGATTGTGTCCTATGGTAGTAAAGGCAATATTTTCACAGAAAAACTAGACAGAAGCATTCTGCAAAACTTCCTCGTGATGTGTTCATTTATCTCACCAAATTGAACCATTCTTTTCCTTGAGCAGATTTGATACACTCTTTTTGTAGAATGTGCAAGTGAATATTTGGAACGCTTTGATGAGTTTGACGGAAAAGGAAATACCTTCACATATAAACGAGACAGAAGCATTCTGAGAAACTTCTTTCTGATATGTGCATTCAACTCACAGAGTTGAACCTTTCTTTTGATTCAGCAGTTTTGAAACACACTTTTTGAAGGATCTGTAAGTGGATATTTGGAGTGCTTAGGGGTCGATGCTAGAAAGGAAATATCTCCACATAAAAACTTGATGGAAGCATTCTGAGAAACTTCTTTGTGATGTGTGCATTCATCAGAGAGAGTTTAACATTTCTTTTGACTGAGCAGTTTTGAAACTCTCTTTTTGTAGAATCTGCAAGTGGACATTTGGAGCCACTTGAGGCCTATTGTGGAAAAGGGAATAAATTCACATAAAAGCTACACGGAAGCATTCTGACAAACTTCTTTGTGATGTGCACATTCATCTCACAGATTGAAAATTTCTTTTGATTGAGCAGTTTTGAAATGCTCTTTTCGGAGAATCAGCCAGTGGATATTTGGAGCACTTTGAGGACTATGGTGGAAAAGGAAATATCTTCACATAAAAACTAGAGGAAACATTCTGAGAAACTTATTTGTGATGTGTGCATTCCTCTCACAGAGTTGAACATTTCTTTTGATTAAGCAGTTTTGAAACACTCTTTTGTGGAATCTGCTAGAGGATATTTGGAGCGCTTTGAGGCCTATGGAGGAAAAGGAAATATCTTCACTTAAAAACTAGACAGAAGCATTCTGAGAAACTTCTTTGTGATGTTTGCATTCATCTCACAGGGTTGAAATTTTCTTTTGATTGAGAAGTTTTGAGACACTCTTTTTGTAGAATCTGCCTGTGGATAATAGGAGCGCTTTGGGGCATATTTTGGAAAAGGAAATACCTTCACATAAATAGTAGACAGAAGCATTCTGAGAAACTTCTTTGTGACGTGTGCATATATATCACAGAGTTGAACCTTTCTTTTCATTTAGCCTTTTGAAACACTCTTTTTCTAGAATCTGCAAGTGAATATTTGGAGCGCTTTGCGGCCTATGGTGGAAAATAAATATCTTCACATAAAAACTAGACAGAAGCAATCTGAGAAACTACTTTGTGATGTGTGCATTCATCTCACAGAGTTGAACCTTTCTTTTGATTGAGCAGTTTTGAAACACTCTTTTTGTTGTATATGCAAGTGGATATTTGGAGCGATTTGTGGTCTATGGTGGAAAAGGAAATATCTTCACGTAAAAACTAGACAGAAGCACTCTGAGAAACTTCCTTGTGATGTGTGCATTCATCTCACCAAGCGGAACCATTCTTTTGATGGAGCTGTTTTGAAATACTCTTTTTGTAGAATCTGCAAGTGAATATTTGGAGTGCTTTCAGGCCTGTGGTGGAAAAGGAAATATCTTCACATAAAAACTAGACAGAAGCATTCGGAGAAACTTCTTTTTAGTGTGTGCATTCATCTCACAGTGTTGAAACTTTCTTTTGATTGAGGGTTTTGAAACAGTCTTTTTGATAAATCTGCAAGTGGATATTTGGAGCGAATTGTGGCCTATGGTTTAAAAGGAAATATCTTCACATAAAAGCTAGACAGAAGCTTTCTGAGAAACTTCTTTGTGATATGTGCGTTCATCTCACCGGGTTGAATCTTTCCTTTCATCGAGCAATATTGAAACACCCTTTTTTTTGAATCTGAAATAGATATTTGGAGCGATTGTGTCCTATGGTAGTAAAGGCAATATTTTCACAGAAAAACTAGACAGAAGCATTCTGCAAAACTTCCTCGTGATGTGTTCATTTATCTCACCAAATTGAACCATTCTTTTCCTTGAGCAGATTTGATACACTCTTTTTGTAGAATGTGCAAGTGAATATTTGGAACGCTTTGATGAGTTTGACGGAAAAGGAAATACCTTCACATATAAACGAGACAGAAGCATTCTGAGAAACTTCTTTCTGATATGTGCATTCAACTCACAGAGTTGAACCTTTCTTTTGATTCAGCAGTTTTGAAACACACTTTTTGAAGGATCTGTAAGTGGATATTTGGAGTGCTTAGGGGTCGATGCTAGAAAGGAAATATCTCCACATAAAAACTTGATGGAAGCATTCTGAGAAACTTCTTTGTGATGTGTGCATTCATCAGAGAGAGTTTAACATTTCTTTTGACTGAGCAGTTTTGAAACTCTCTTTTTGTAGAATCTGCAAGTGGACATTTGGAGCCACTTGAGGCCTATTGTGGAAAAGGGAATAAATTCACATAAAAGCTACACGGAAGCATTCTGACAAACTTCTTTGTGATGTGCACATTCATCTCACAGATTGAAAATTTCTTTTGATTGAGCAGTTTTGAAATGCTCTTTTCGGAGAATCAGCCAGTGGATATTTGGAGCACTTTGAGGACTATGGTGGAAAAGGAAATATCTTCACATAAAAACTAGAGGAAACATTCTGAGAAACTTATTTGTGATGTGTGCATTCCTCTCACAGAGTTGAACATTTCTTTTGATTAAGCAGTTTTGAAACACTCTTTTGTGGAATCTGCTAGAGGATATTTGGAGCGCTTTGAGGCCTATGGAGGAAAAGGAAATATCTTCACTTAAAAACTAGACAGAAGCATTCTGAGAAACTTCTTTGTGATGTTTGCATTCATCTCACAGGGTTGAAATTTTCTTTTGATTGAGAAGTTTTGAGACACTCTTTTTGTAGAATCTGCCTGTGGATAATAGGAGCGCTTTGGGGCATATTTTGGAAAAGGAAATACCTTCACATAAATAGTAGACAGAAGCATTCTGAGAAACTTCTTTGTGACGTGTGCATATATATCACAGAGTTGAACCTTTCTTTTCATTTAGCCTTTTGAAACACTCTTTTTCTAGAATCTGCAAGTGAATATTTGGAGCGCTTTGCGGCCTATGGTGGAAAATAAATATCTTCACATAAAAACTAGACAGAAGCAATCTGAGAAACTACTTTGTGATGTGTGCATTCATCTCACAGAGTTGAACCTTTCTTTTGATTGAGCAGTTTTGAAACACTCTTTTTGTTGTATATGCAAGTGGATATTTGGAGCGATTTGTGGTCTATGGTGGAAAAGGAAATATCTTCACGTAAAAACTAGACAGAAGCACTCTGAGAAACTTCCTTGTGATGTGTGCATTCATCTCACCAAGCGGAACCATTCTTTTGATGGAGCTGTTTTGAAATACTCTTTTTGTAGAATCTGCAAGTGAATATTTGGAGTGCTTTCAGGCCTGTGGTGGAAAAGGAAATATCTTCACATAAAAACTAGACAGAAGCATTCGGAGAAACTTCTTTTTAGTGTGTGCATTCATCTCACAGTGTTGAAACTTTCTTTTGATTGAGGGTTTTGAAACAGTCTTTTTGATAAATCTGCAAGTGGATATTTGGAGCGAATTGTGGCCTATGGTTTAAAAGGAAATATCTTCACATAAAAGCTAGACAGAAGCTTTCTGAGAAACTTCTTTGTGATATGTGCGTTCATCTCACCGGGTTGAATCTTTCCTTTCATCGAGCAATATTGAAACACCCTTTTTTTTGAATCTGAAATAGATATTTGGAGCGATTGTGTCCTATGGTAGTAAAGGCAATATTTTCACAGAAAAACTAGACAGAAGCATTCTGCAAAACTTCCTCGTGATGTGTTCATTTATCTCACCAAATTGAACCATTCTTTTCCTTGAGCAGATTTGATACACTCTTTTTGTAGAATGTGCAAGTGAATATTTGGAACGCTTTGATGAGTTTGACGGAAAAGGAAATACCTTCACATATAAACGAGACAGAAGCATTCTGAGAAACTTCTTTCTGATATGTGCATTCAACTCACAGAGTTGAACCTTTCTTTTGATTCAGCAGTTTTGAAACACACTTTTTGAAGGATCTGTAAGTGGATATTTGGAGTGCTTAGGGGTCGATGCTAGAAAGGAAATATCTCCACATAAAAACTTGATGGAAGCATTCTGAGAAACTTCTTTGTGATGTGTGCATTCATCAGAGAGAGTTTAACATTTCTTTTGACTGAGCAGTTTTGAAACTCTCTTTTTGTAGAATCTGCAAGTGGACATTTGGAGCCACTTGAGGCCTATTGTGGAAAAGGGAATAAATTCACATAAAAGCTACACGGAAGCATTCTGACAAACTTCTTTGTGATGTGCACATTCATCTCACAGATTGAAAATTTCTTTTGATTGAGCAGTTTTGAAATGCTCTTTTCGGAGAATCAGCCAGTGGATATTTGGAGCACTTTGAGGACTATGGTGGAAAAGGAAATATCTTCACATAAAAACTAGAGGAAACATTCTGAGAAACTTATTTGTGATGTGTGCATTCCTCTCACAGAGTTGAACATTTCTTTTGATTAAGCAGTTTTGAAACACTCTTTTGTGGAATCTGCTAGAGGATATTTGGAGCGCTTTGAGGCCTATGGAGGAAAAGGAAATATCTTCACTTAAAAACTAGACAGAAGCATTCTGAGAAACTTCTTTGTGATGTTTGCATTCATCTCACAGGGTTGAAATTTTCTTTTGATTGAGAAGTTTTGAGACACTCTTTTTGTAGAATCTGCCTGTGGATAATAGGAGCGCTTTGGGGCATATTTTGGAAAAGGAAATACCTTCACATAAATAGTAGACAGAAGCATTCTGAGAAACTTCTTTGTGACGTGTGCATATATATCACAGAGTTGAACCTTTCTTTCCATTTAGCCTTTTGAAACACTCTTTTTCTAGAATCTGCAAGTGAATATTTGGAGCGCTTTGCGGCCTATGGTGGAAAATAAATATCTTCACATAAAAACTAGACAGAAGCAATCTGAGAAACTACTTTGTGATGTGTGCATTCATCTCACAGAGTTGAACCTTTCTTTTGATTGAGCAGTTTTGAAACACTCTTTTTGTTGTATATGCAAGTGGATATTTGGAGCGATTTGTGGTCTATGGTGGAAAAGGAAATATCTTCACGTAAAAACTAGACAGAAGCACTCTGAGAAACTTCCTTGTGATGTGTGCATTCATCTCACCAAGCGGAACCATTCTTTTGATGGAGCTGTTTTGAAATACTCTTTTTGTAGAATCTGCAAGTGAATATTTGGAGTGCTTTCAGGCCTGTGGTGGAAAAGGAAATATCTTCACATAAAAACTAGACAGAAGCATTCGGAGAAACTTCTTTTTAGTGTGTGCATTCATCTCACAGTGTTGAAACTTTCTTTTGATTGAGGGTTTTGAAACAGTCTTTTTGATAAATCTGCAAGTGGATATTTGGAGCGAATTGTGGCCTATGGTTTAAAAGGAAATATCTTCACATAAAAGCTAGACAGAAGCTTTCTGAGAAACTTCTTTGTGATATGTGCGTTCATCTCACCGGGTTGAATCTTTCCTTTCATCGAGCAATATTGAAACACCCTTTTTTTTGAATCTGAAATAGATATTTGGAGCGATTGTGTCCTATGGTAGTAAAGGCAATATTTTCACAGAAAAACTAGACAGAAGCATTCTGCAAAACTTCCTCGTGATGTGTTCATTTATCTCACCAAATTGAACCATTCTTTTCCTTGAGCAGATTTGATACACTCTTTTTGTAGAATGTGCAAGTGAATATTTGGAACGCTTTGATGAGTTTGACGGAAAAGGAAATACCTTCACATATAAACGAGACAGAAGCATTCTGAGAAACTTCTTTCTGATATGTGCATTCAACTCACAGAGTTGAACCTTTCTTTTGATTCAGCAGTTTTGAAACACACTTTTTGAAGGATCTGTAAGTGGATATTTGGAGTGCTTAGGGGTCGATGCTAGAAAGGAAATATCTCCACATAAAAACTTGATGGAAGCATTCTGAGAAACTTCTTTGTGATGTGTGCATTCATCAGAGAGAGTTTAACATTTCTTTTGACTGAGCAGTTTTGAAACTCTCTTTTTGTAGAATCTGCAAGTGGACATTTGGAGCCACTTGAGGCCTATTGTGGAAAAGGGAATAAATTCACATAAAAGCTACACGGAAGCATTCTGACAAACTTCTTTGTGATGTGCACATTCATCTCACAGATTGAAAATTTCTTTTGATTGAGCAGTTTTGAAATGCTCTTTTCGGAGAATCAGCCAGTGGATATTTGGAGCACTTTGAGGACTATGGTGGAAAAGGAAATATCTTCACATAAAAACTAGAGGAAACATTCTGAGAAACTTATTTGTGATGTGTGCATTCCTCTCACAGAGTTGAACATTTCTTTTGATTAAGCAGTTTTGAAACACTCTTTTGTGGAATCTGCTAGAGGATATTTGGAGCGCTTTGAGGCCTATGGAGGAAAAGGAAATATCTTCACTTAAAAACTAGACAGAAGCATTCTGAGAAACTTCTTTGTGATGTTTGCATTCATCTCACAGGGTTGAAATTTTCTTTTGATTGAGAAGTTTTGAGACACTCTTTTTGTAGAATCTGCCTGTGGATAATAGGAGCGCTTTGGGGCATATTTTGGAAAAGGAAATACCTTCACATAAATAGTAGACAGAAGCATTCTGAGAAACTTCTTTGTGACGTGTGCATATATATCACAGAGTTGAACCTTTCTTTTCATTTAGCCTTTTGAAACACTCTTTTTCTAGAATCTGCAAGTGAATATTTGGAGCGCTTTGCGGCCTATGGTGGAAAATAAATATCTTCACATAAAAACTAGACAGAAGCAATCTGAGAAACTACTTTGTGATGTGTGCATTCATCTCACAGAGTTGAACCTTTCTTTTGATTGAGCAGTTTTGAAACACTCTTTTTGTTGTATATGCAAGTGGATATTTGGAGCGATTTGTGGTCTATGGTGGAAAAGGAAATATCTTCACGTAAAAACTAGACAGAAGCACTCTGAGAAACTTCCTTGTGATGTGTGCATTCATCTCACCAAGCGGAACCATTCTTTTGATGGAGCTGTTTTGAAATACTCTTTTTGTAGAATCTGCAAGTGAATATTTGGAGTGCTTTCAGGCCTGTGGTGGAAAAGGAAATATCTTCACATAAAAACTAGACAGAAGCATTCGGAGAAACTTCTTTTTAGTGTGTGCATTCATCTCACAGTGTTGAAACTTTCTTTTGATTGAGGGTTTTGAAACAGTCTTTTTGATAAATCTGCAAGTGGATATTTGGAGCGAATTGTGGCCTATGGTTTAAAAGGAAATATCTTCACATAAAAGCTAGACAGAAGCTTTCTGAGAAACTTCTTTGTGATATGTGCGTTCATCTCACCGGGTTGAATCTTTCCTTTCATCGAGCAATATTGAAACACCCTTTTTTTTGAATCTGAAATAGATATTTGGAGCGATTGTGTCCTATGGTAGTAAAGGCAATATTTTCACAGAAAAACTAGACAGAAGCATTCTGCAAAACTTCCTCGTGATGTGTTCATTTATCTCACCAAATTGAACCATTCTTTTCCTTGAGCAGATTTGATACACTCTTTTTGTAGAATGTGCAAGTGAATATTTGGAACGCTTTGATGAGTTTGACGGAAAAGGAAATACCTTCACATATAAACGAGACAGAAGCATTCTGAGAAACTTCTTTCTGATATGTGCATTCAACTCACAGAGTTGAACCTTTCTTTTGATTCAGCAGTTTTGAAACACACTTTTTGAAGGATCTGTAAGTGGATATTTGGAGTGCTTAGGGGTCGATGCTAGAAAGGAAATATCTCCACATAAAAACTTGATGGAAGCATTCTGAGAAACTTCTTTGTGATGTGTGCATTCATCAGAGAGAGTTTAACATTTCTTTTGACTGAGCAGTTTTGAAACTCTCTTTTTGTAGAATCTGCAAGTGGACATTTGGAGCCACTTGAGGCCTATTGTGGAAAAGGGAATAAATTCACATAAAAGCTACACGGAAGCATTCTGACAAACTTCTTTGTGATGTGCACATTCATCTCACAGATTGAAAATTTCTTTTGATTGAGCAGTTTTGAAATGCTCTTTTCGGAGAATCAGCCAGTGGATATTTGGAGCACTTTGAGGACTATGGTGGAAAAGGAAATATCTTCACATAAAAACTAGAGGAAACATTCTGAGAAACTTATTTGTGATGTGTGCATTCCTCTCACAGAGTTGAACATTTCTTTTGATTAAGCAGTTTTGAAACACTCTTTTGTGGAATCTGCTAGAGGATATTTGGAGCGCTTTGAGGCCTATGGAGGAAAAGGAAATATCTTCACTTAAAAACTAGACAGAAGCATTCTGAGAAACTTCTTTGTGATGTTTGCATTCATCTCACAGGGTTGAAATTTTCTTTTGATTGAGAAGTTTTGAGACACTCTTTTTGTAGAATCTGCCTGTGGATAATAGGAGCGCTTTGGGGCATATTTTGGAAAAGGAAATACCTTCACATAAATAGTAGACAGAAGCATTCTGAGAAACTTCTTTGTGACGTGTGCATATATATCACAGAGTTGAACCTTTCTTTTCATTTAGCCTTTTGAAACACTCTTTTTCTAGAATCTGCAAGTGAATATTTGGAGCGCTTTGCGGCCTATGGTGGAAAATAAATATCTTCACATAAAAACTAGACAGAAGCAATCTGAGAAACTACTTTGTGATGTGTGCATTCATCTCACAGAGTTGAACCTTTCTTTTGATTGAGCAGTTTTGAAACACTCTTTTTGTTGTATATGCAAGTGGATATTTGGAGCGATTTGTGGTCTATGGTGGAAAAGGAAATATCTTCACGTAAAAACTAGACAGAAGCACTCTGAGAAACTTCTTTGTGATGTGTGCATTCATCTCACCAAGCGGAACCATTCTTTTGATGGAGCTGTTTTGAAATACTCTTTTTGTAGAATCTGCAAGTGAATATTTGGAGTGCTTTCAGGCCTGTGGTGGAAAAGGAAATATCTTCACATAAAAACTAGACAGAAGCATTCGGAGAAACTTCTTTTTAGTGTGTGCATTCATCTCACAGTGTTGAAACTTTCTTTTGATTGAGGGTTTTGAAACAGTCTTTTTGATAAATCTGCAAGTGGATATTTGGAGCGAATTGTGGCCTATGGTTTAAAAGGAAATATCTTCACATAAAAGCTAGACAGAAGCTTTCTGAGAAACTTCTTTGTGATATGTGCGTTCATCTCACCGGGTTGAATCTTTCCTTTCATCGAGCAATATTGAAACACCCTTTTTTTTGAATCTGAAATAGATATTTGGAGCGATTGTGTCCTATGGTAGTAAAGGCAATATTTTCACAGAAAAACTAGACAGAAGCATTCTGCAAAACTTCCTCGTGATGTGTTCATTTATCTCACCAAATTGAACCATTCTTTTCCTTGAGCAGATTTGATACACTCTTTTTGTAGAATGTGCAAGTGAATATTTGGAACGCTTTGATGAGTTTGACGGAAAAGGAAATACCTTCACATATAAACGAGACAGAAGCATTCTGAGAAACTTCTTTCTGATATGTGCATTCAACTCACAGAGTTGAACCTTTCTTTTGATTCAGCAGTTTTGAAACACACTTTTTGAAGGATCTGTAAGTGGATATTTGGAGTGCTTAGGGGTCGATGCTAGAAAGGAAATATCTCCACATAAAAACTTGATGGAAGCATTCTGAGAAACTTCTTTGTGATGTGTGCATTCATCAGAGAGAGTTTAACATTTCTTTTGACTGAGCAGTTTTGAAACTCTCTTTTTGTAGAATCTGCAAGTGGACATTTGGAGCCACTTGAGGCCTATTGTGGAAAAGGGAATAAATTCACATAAAAGCTACACGGAAGCATTCTGACAAACTTCTTTGTGATGTGCACATTCATCTCACAGATTGAAAATTTCTTTTGATTGAGCAGTTTTGAAATGCTCTTTTCGGAGAATCAGCCAGTGGATATTTGGAGCACTTTGAGGACTATGGTGGAAAAGGAAATATCTTCACATAAAAACTAGAGGAAACATTCTGAGAAACTTATTTGTGATGTGTGCATTCCTCTCACAGAGTTGAACATTTCTTTTGATTAAGCAGTTTTGAAACACTCTTTTGTGGAATCTGCTAGAGGATATTTGGAGCGCTTTGAGGCCTATGGAGGAAAAGGAAATATCTTCACTTAAAAACTAGACAGAAGCATTCTGAGAAACTTCTTTGTGATGTTTGCATTCATCTCACAGGGTTGAAATTTTCTTTTGATTGAGAAGTTTTGAGACACTCTTTTTGTAGAATCTGCCTGTGGATAATAGGAGCGCTTTGGGGCATATTTTGGAAAAGGAAATACCTTCACATAAATAGTAGACAGAAGCATTCTGAGAAACTTCTTTGTGACGTGTGCATATATATCACAGAGTTGAACCTTTCTTTTCATTTAGCCTTTTGAAACACTCTTTTTCTAGAATCTGCAAGTGAATATTTGGAGCGCTTTGCGGCCTATGGTGGAAAATAAATATCTTCACATAAAAACTAGACAGAAGCAATCTGAGAAACTACTTTGTGATGTGTGCATTCATCTCACAGAGTTGAACCTTTCTTTTGATTGAGCAGTTTTGAAACACTCTTTTTGTTGTATATGCAAGTGGATATTTGGAGCGATTTGTGGTCTATGGTGGAAAAGGAAATATCTTCACGTAAAAACTAGACAGAAGCACTCTGAGAAACTTCCTTGTGATGTGTGCATTCATCTCACCAAGCGGAACCATTCTTTTGATGGAGCTGTTTTGAAATACTCTTTTTGTAGAATCTGCAAGTGAATATTTGGAGTGCTTTCAGGCCTGTGGTGGAAAAGGAAATATCTTCACATAAAAACTAGACAGAAGCATTCGGAGAAACTTCTTTTTAGTGTGTGCATTCATCTCACAGTGTTGAAACTTTCTTTTGATTGAGGGTTTTGAAACAGTCTTTTTGATAAATCTGCAAGTGGATATTTGGAGCGAATTGTGGCCTATGGTTTAAAAGGAAATATCTTCACATAAAAGCTAGACAGAAGCTTTCTGAGAAACTTCTTTGTGATATGTGCGTTCATCTCACCGGGTTGAATCTTTCCTTTCATCGAGCAATATTGAAACACCCTTTTTTTTGAATCTGAAATAGATATTTGGAGCGATTGTGTCCTATGGTAGTAAAGGCAATATTTTCACAGAAAAACTAGACAGAAGCATTCTGCAAAACTTCCTCGTGATGTGTTCATTTATCTCACCAAATTGAACCATTCTTTTCCTTGAGCAGATTTGATACACTCTTTTTGTAGAATGTGCAAGTGAATATTTGGAACGCTTTGATGAGTTTGACGGAAAAGGAAATACCTTCACATATAAACGAGACAGAAGCATTCTGAGAAACTTCTTTCTGATATGTGCATTCAACTCACAGAGTTGAACCTTTCTTTTGATTCAGCAGTTTTGAAACACACTTTTTGAAGGATCTGTAAGTGGATATTTGGAGTGCTTAGGGGTCGATGCTAGAAAGGAAATATCTCCACATAAAAACTTGATGGAAGCATTCTGAGAAACTTCTTTGTGATGTGTGCATTCATCAGAGAGAGTTTAACATTTCTTTTGACTGAGCAGTTTTGAAACTCTCTTTTTGTAGAATCTGCAAGTGGACATTTGGAGCCACTTGAGGCCTATTGTGGAAAAGGGAATAAATTCACATAAAAGCTACACGGAAGCATTCTGACAAACTTCTTTGTGATGTGCACATTCATCTCACAGATTGAAAATTTCTTTTGATTGAGCAGTTTTGAAATGCTCTTTTCGGAGAATCAGCCAGTGGATATTTGGAGCACTTTGAGGACTATGGTGGAAAAGGAAATATCTTCACATAAAAACTAGAGGAAACATTCTGAGAAACTTATTTGTGATGTGTGCATTCCTCTCACAGAGTTGAACATTTCTTTTGATTAAGCAGTTTTGAAACACTCTTTTGTGGAATCTGCTAGAGGATATTTGGAGCGCTTTGAGGCCTATGGAGGAAAAGGAAATATCTTCACTTAAAAACTAGACAGAAGCATTCTGAGAAACTTCTTTGTGATGTTTGCATTCATCTCACAGGGTTGAAATTTTCTTTTGATTGAGAAGTTTTGAGACACTCTTTTTGTAGAATCTGCCTGTGGATAATAGGAGCGCTTTGGGGCATATTTTGGAAAAGGAAATACCTTCACATAAATAGTAGACAGAAGCATTCTGAGAAACTTCTTTGTGACGTGTGCATATATATCACAGAGTTGAACCTTTCTTTTCATTTAGCCTTTTGAAACACTCTTTTTCTAGAATCTGCAAGTGAATATTTGGAGCGCTTTGCGGCCTATGGTGGAAAATAAATATCTTCACATAAAAACTAGACAGAAGCAATCTGAGAAACTACTTTGTGATGTGTGCATTCATCTCACAGAGTTGAACCTTTCTTTTGATTGAGCAGTTTTGAAACACTCTTTTTGTTGTATATGCAAGTGGATATTTGGAGCGATTTGTGGTCTATGGTGGAAAAGGAAATATCTTCACGTAAAAACTAGACAGAAGCACTCTGAGAAACTTCCTTGTGATGTGTGCATTCATCTCACCAAGCGGAACCATTCTTTTGATGGAGCTGTTTTGAAATACTCTTTTTGTAGAATCTGCAAGTGAATATTTGGAGTGCTTTCAGGCCTGTGGTGGAAAAGGAAATATCTTCACATAAAAACTAGACAGAAGCATTCGGAGAAACTTCTTTTTAGTGTGTGCATTCATCTCACAGTGTTGAAACTTTCTTTTGATTGAGGGTTTTGAAACAGTCTTTTTGATAAATCTGCAAGTGGATATTTGGAGCGAATTGTGGCCTATGGTTTAAAAGGAAATATCTTCACATAAAAGCTAGACAGAAGCTTTCTGAGAAACTTCTTTGTGATATGTGCGTTCATCTCACCGGGTTGAATCTTTCCTTTCATCGAGCAATATTGAAACACCCTTTTTTTTGAATCTGAAATAGATATTTGGAGCGATTGTGTCCTATGGTAGTAAAGGCAATATTTTCACAGAAAAACTAGACAGAAGCATTCTGCAAAACTTCCTCGTGATGTGTTCATTTATCTCACCAAATTGAACCATTCTTTTCCTTGAGCAGATTTGATACACTCTTTTTGTAGAATGTGCAAGTGAATATTTGGAACGCTTTGATGAGTTTGACGGAAAAGGAAATACCTTCACATATAAACGAGACAGAAGCATTCTGAGAAACTTCTTTCTGATATGTGCATTCAACTCACAGAGTTGAACCTTTCTTTTGATTCAGCAGTTTTGAAACACACTTTTTGAAGGATCTGTAAGTGGATATTTGGAGTGCTTAGGGGTCGATGCTAGAAAGGAAATATCTCCACATAAAAACTTGATGGAAGCATTCTGAGAAACTTCTTTGTGATGTGTGCATTCATCAGAGAGAGTTTAACATTTCTTTTGACTGAGCAGTTTTGAAACTCTCTTTTTGTAGAATCTGCAAGTGGACATTTGGAGCCACTTGAGGCCTATTGTGGAAAAGGGAATAAATTCACATAAAAGCTACACGGAAGCATTCTGACAAACTTCTTTGTGATGTGCACATTCATCTCACAGATTGAAAATTTCTTTTGATTGAGCAGTTTTGAAATGCTCTTTTCGGAGAATCAGCCAGTGGATATTTGGAGCACTTTGAGGACTATGGTGGAAAAGGAAATATCTTCACATAAAAACTAGAGGAAACATTCTGAGAAACTTATTTGTGATGTGTGCATTCCTCTCACAGAGTTGAACATTTCTTTTGATTAAGCAGTTTTGAAACACTCTTTTGTGGAATCTGCTAGAGGATATTTGGAGCGCTTTGAGGCCTATGGAGGAAAAGGAAATATCTTCACTTAAAAACTAGACAGAAGCATTCTGAGAAACTTCTTTGTGATGTTTGCATTCATCTCACAGGGTTGAAATTTTCTTTTGATTGAGAAGTTTTGAGACACTCTTTTTGTAGAATCTGCCTGTGGATAATAGGAGCGCTTTGGGGCATATTTTGGAAAAGGAAATACCTTCACATAAATAGTAGACAGAAGCATTCTGAGAAACTTCTTTGTGACGTGTGCATATATATCACAGAGTTGAACCTTTCTTTTCATTTAGCCTTTTGAAACACTCTTTTTCTAGAATCTGCAAGTGAATATTTGGAGCGCTTTGCGGCCTATGGTGGAAAATAAATATCTTCACATAAAAACTAGACAGAAGCAATCTGAGAAACTACTTTGTGATGTGTGCATTCATCTCACAGAGTTGAACCTTTCTTTTGATTGAGCAGTTTTGAAACACTCTTTTTGTTGTATATGCAAGTGGATATTTGGAGCGATTTGTGGTCTATGGTGGAAAAGGAAATATCTTCACGTAAAAACTAGACAGAAGCACTCTGAGAAACTTCCTTGTGATGTGTGCATTCATCTCACCAAGCGGAACCATTCTTTTGATGGAGCTGTTTTGAAATACTCTTTTTGTAGAATCTGCAAGTGAATATTTGGAGTGCTTTCAGGCCTGTGGTGGAAAAGGAAATATCTTCACATAAAAACTAGACAGAAGCATTCGGAGAAACTTCTTTTTAGTGTGTGCATTCATCTCACAGTGTTGAAACTTTCTTTTGATTGAGGGTTTTGAAACAGTCTTTTTGATAAATCTGCAAGTGGATATTTGGAGCGAATTGTGGCCTATGGTTTAAAAGGAAATATCTTCACATAAAAGCTAGACAGAAGCTTTCTGAGAAACTTCTTTGTGATATGTGCGTTCATCTCACCGGGTTGAATCTTTCCTTTCATCGAGCAATATTGAAACACCCTTTTTTTTGAATCTGAAATAGATATTTGGAGCGATTGTGTCCTATGGTAGTAAAGGCAATATTTTCACAGAAAAACTAGACAGAAGCATTCTGCAAAACTTCCTCGTGATGTGTTCATTTATCTCACCAAATTGAACCATTCTTTTCCTTGAGCAGATTTGATACACTCTTTTTGTAGAATGTGCAAGTGAATATTTGGAACGCTTTGATGAGTTTGACGGAAAAGGAAATACCTTCACATATAAACGAGACAGAAGCATTCTGAGAAACTTCTTTCTGATATGTGCATTCAACTCACAGAGTTGAACCTTTCTTTTGATTCAGCAGTTTTGAAACACACTTTTTGAAGGATCTGTAAGTGGATATTTGGAGTGCTTAGGGGTCGATGCTAGAAAGGAAATATCTCCACATAAAAACTTGATGGAAGCATTCTGAGAAACTTCTTTGTGATGTGTGCATTCATCAGAGAGAGTTTAACATTTCTTTTGACTGAGCAGTTTTGAAACTCTCTTTTTGTAGAATCTGCAAGTGGACATTTGGAGCCACTTGAGGCCTATTGTGGAAAAGGGAATAAATTCACATAAAAGCTACACGGAAGCATTCTGACAAACTTCTTTGTGATGTGCACATTCATCTCACAGATTGAAAATTTCTTTTGATTGAGCAGTTTTGAAATGCTCTTTTCGGAGAATCAGCCAGTGGATATTTGGAGCACTTTGAGGACTATGGTGGAAAAGGAAATATCTTCACATAAAAACTAGAGGAAACATTCTGAGAAACTTATTTGTGATGTGTGCATTCCTCTCACAGAGTTGAACATTTCTTTTGATTAAGCAGTTTTGAAACACTCTTTTGTGGAATCTGCTAGAGGATATTTGGAGCGCTTTGAGGCCTATGGAGGAAAAGGAAATATCTTCACTTAAAAACTAGACAGAAGCATTCTGAGAAACTTCTTTGTGATGTTTGCATTCATCTCACAGGGTTGAAATTTTCTTTTGATTGAGAAGTTTTGAGACACTCTTTTTGTAGAATCTGCCTGTGGATAATAGGAGCGCTTTGGGGCATATTTTGGAAAAGGAAATACCTTCACATAAATAGTAGACAGAAGCATTCTGAGAAACTTCTTTGTGACGTGTGCATATATATCACAGAGTTGAACCTTTCTTTTCATTTAGCCTTTTGAAACACTCTTTTTCTAGAATCTGCAAGTGAATATTTGGAGCGCTTTGCGGCCTATGGTGGAAAATAAATATCTTCACATAAAAACTAGACAGAAGCAATCTGAGAAACTACTTTGTGATGTGTGCATTCATCTCACAGAGTTGAACCTTTCTTTTGATTGAGCAGTTTTGAAACACTCTTTTTGTTGTATATGCAAGTGGATATTTGGAGCGATTTGTGGTCTATGGTGGAAAAGGAAATATCTTCACGTAAAAACTAGACAGAAGCACTCTGAGAAACTTCCTTGTGATGTGTGCATTCATCTCACCAAGCGGAACCATTCTTTTGATGGAGCTGTTTTGAAATACTCTTTTTGTAGAATCTGCAAGTGAATATTTGGAGTGCTTTCAGGCCTGTGGTGGAAAAGGAAATATCTTCACATAAAAACTAGACAGAAGCATTCGGAGAAACTTCTTTTTAGTGTGTGCATTCATCTCACAGTGTTGAAACTTTCTTTTGATTGAGGGTTTTGAAACAGTCTTTTTGATAAATCTGCAAGTGGATATTTGGAGCGAATTGTGGCCTATGGTTTAAAAGGAAATATCTTCACATAAAAGCTAGACAGAAGCTTTCTGAGAAACTTCTTTGTGATATGTGCGTTCATCTCACCGGGTTGAATCTTTCCTTTCATCGAGCAATATTGAAACACCCTTTTTTTTGAATCTGAAATAGATATTTGGAGCGATTGTGTCCTATGGTAGTAAAGGCAATATTTTCACAGAAAAACTAGACAGAAGCATTCTGCAAAACTTCCTCGTGATGTGTTCATTTATCTCACCAAATTGAACCATTCTTTTCCTTGAGCAGATTTGATACACTCTTTTTGTAGAATGTGCAAGTGAATATTTGGAACGCTTTGATGAGTTTGACGGAAAAGGAAATACCTTCACATATAAACGAGACAGAAGCATTCTGAGAAACTTCTTTCTGATATGTGCATTCAACTCACAGAGTTGAACCTTTCTTTTGATTCAGCAGTTTTGAAACACACTTTTTGAAGGATCTGTAAGTGGATATTTGGAGTGCTTAGGGGTCGATGCTAGAAAGGAAATATCTCCACATAAAAACTTGATGGAAGCATTCTGAGAAACTTCTTTGTGATGTGTGCATTCATCAGAGAGAGTTTAACATTTCTTTTGACTGAGCAGTTTTGAAACTCTCTTTTTGTAGAATCTGCAAGTGGACATTTGGAGCCACTTGAGGCCTATTGTGGAAAAGGGAATAAATTCACATAAAAGCTACACAGAAGCATTCTGACAAACTTCTTTGTGATGTGCACATTCATCTCACAGATTGAAAATTTCTTTTGATTGAGCAGTTTTGAAATGCTCTTTTCGGAGAATCAGCCAGTGGATATTTGGAGCACTTTGAGGACTATGGTGGAAAAGGAAATATCTTCACATAAAAACTAGAGGAAACATTCTGAGAAACTTATTTGTGATGTGTGCATTCCTCTCACAGAGTTGAACATTTCTTTTGATTAAGCAGTTTTGAAACACTCTTTTGTGGAATCTGCTAGAGGATATTTGGAGCGCTTTGAGGCCTATGGAGGAAAAGGAAATATCTTCACTTAAAAACTAGACAGAAGCATTCTGAGAAACTTCTTTGTGATGTTTGCATTCATCTCACAGGGTTGAAATTTTCTTTTGATTGAGAAGTTTTGAGACACTCTTTTTGTAGAATCTGCCTGTGGATAATAGGAGCGCTTTGGGGCATATTTTGGAAAAGGAAATACCTTCACATAAATAGTAGACAGAAGCATTCTGAGAAACTTCTTTGTGACGTGTGCATATATATCACAGAGTTGAACCTTTCTTTTCATTTAGCCTTTTGAAACACTCTTTTTCTAGAATCTGCAAGTGAATATTTGGAGCGCTTTGCGGCCTATGGTGGAAAATAAATATCTTCACATAAAAACTAGACAGAAGCAATCTGAGAAACTACTTTGTGATGTGTGCATTCATCTCACAGAGTTGAACCTTTCTTTTGATTGAGCTTTTTTGAAACACTCTTTTTGTATAATCTGCAAGTGGATATTTGGAGCGCTTTGAGGCTTATGGTGGAAAATGAAACATATTCACGTAAAAACTAGACAGCAGCATTCTGAGAAACTTCTTTGTAATGTGTGCATTCATCTCACAGAAGTTAACCTTTCTTTTGATTGAGCAGTTTTGAAACACTCTTTTTGTAGAATCTGCAATTGGATATATGGATCGTTTTGAGGTCTACCATGCAAAAGATATATCTTCACATAAAAACTAGACAGAATCTTTCTGAGAAACTTCTTTGTGATGTGCGCATTCATCTTACAGTGGTGAACCTTTCTTTTGATTCAGCAGTTTTCAAACACTCTTTTTGTAGAATTTGCAAGTGGATATTTGCAGCGCTTAGGGGCTTATGGTGAAAAAGGAAATATCTCCACATAAAAACTTGACGGAAGCACTCTGAGAAACTTCTTTGATGTGTGCATTCAACTCACAGAGTAGAACCGTCCTTTTGATTTAGCAGTTTTGAACCACTCTTTTTGTAGAATCTACAAGTGGATATTTGGAGCCCTTTGTGGCCCACAGTGGAAATGGAAATATCTTCACATAAAAACTAGACAGAAGCATTCTGAGAAACTTCTTTGTGATGTGTGCATTCATCTCACAAAGTTGAATGTCTCTGTTGATTGAGCAGTTTTGAAACACTCTTTTTGTAGAATCTGCAAGTGGGTATTTGGAGCTCATTGGGGCCTACTGTGGAAAAACAAATATCTTCCCAATTTCTTTGTGATGTGTGCATTCATCTCACAGAGTGGAACTTTCTTTTGATTGAGCAGTGTTGAAACACTCTTTTTGTAGAATCTTCAGGAGAGTATTTGGAGTGCTTTGCTGCATACGTTGTAAAAGGAAGTATCTTGACATAAAAGCTAGACGGAAGAATTCTGAAAAACTTATTTGTGATGTGCGCGTTCATCTGACAGAGTTGAACCTTTCTTTTGATTGAGCAGTTTTGAAACACTCTTTTTGTAGTATCTGTAAATGGATATTTGAAGCGATTTGAGGTCTATGGTGGAAAAGGAAATATCTTCACATATAAACTAGACAGAAGCATTCTGAGAAATTTCTCTGTGATTTGTGCATTCATCTCACAGAGTTGAACATTTCTTTTGATTGAGCAGTTTTGAATCACTCTTTTTGTAGAATCTTTTGGTAGAATCTTTTTGTAGTGAATATTTTGAGTGCTTTTAGGCCTTTGGTGGAAAAGCAAATATCTTTGCATCAAAACTAGACAGATGCATTTTGAGAAACTTCTTTGTGATGTGTGCATTCATCTCACAGATTTAAACCTTTCCTTTGATTGAACAGTTTTGAAACTCTGTTTTTGGTGAATCTGCAAGTGGATATTTGGAGCGCTTAGAGGCCTATGCTGTAAAACAAATATATTCACATAAAAACCAGACAGAAGCATTCTGAGAAACTTCTTTGTGATGTGTGCACTCATCTCACAGAGTTGAACCTTTCTTTTGGTTGCGTAGTTTTGAAACACTCTTTTTGTAGCATCTGCAAGTGTATATTTGGAGCGGTTTGCCTCCTATGGTGGAAAAGGAAATATCTTCACATAAAAACTAGACAGATGTATTCTGAGAAACTTCTTTGTGATGTGTGCATTCATCTCACAGAGGTGAACTTCTAGTGTTTTGGACTCATCCAAGCCTCAACATTAGCTTTAAGAGCTCCTTGATCTTTCCAGCGGGAGAAAAATGAACATGCAAAGCTCTCAGGCTCATTGTTATAATCCTCTCAAGGATCAGTCTCATTAGCAGACAGCACAGTCTTGATCCCTTGTTTCACCAAGCTATCAACTTGGCTGAGAGAAGTTGTTGTTAGTCCTAGGGGAACTTCTCATATCCCTTGCAAGCTCTTCAAGTATTTGTGTATTTTCCCCTTTCAGAAAGTTGTGTTTATCTCAGCATCCCATTGTCATCTCCAAAATTAAATAATTGTGAAGGATCTAAGATTTCATCCTATTTGTAAACAAACCTATTAACCTTTCATTTTCATGGATGCTGGTAGAAGGCATGAGACACTGAAGCATGAAAAAAATACCTACAATTTACTGTCTACCTGGAGGCAAAAGACTCATATTTGTATTAGTTCTCCGTGTCCATACTACATTTTTTAGAGGGACTTCAAAAGGCTCAGATGGACATTGCACTTGGGGAAGGTTTGTGTCACAGCTGAGCAGACTCAAGACTAAGAAACCTCAATCTTCTTAAAGTAGGTTACATGCAAACCTGTCCAACCTTTGCCTCACAGAGAAAAATTGTCTTTATTATATTGATTGAGCAATTTATCTGCCATTCACCTGAAGAGAAAAACTACTACCCTTTTTCCAGGTTATTCGTGTACAAAAATCTTTGAAAAATAGCCTGGAACAGGACAGGTATGTGATGTAAGACACAACAAAATGACAAACTCTAAGAGACTTTTACAGAACTACATCTCAGTAGCATGCATCTTTTCCATAAAATGTTGCACTAAACAATCCTGTGATGAAAAAAATCCATTGAAGATATTTGACATGAAGACTAACTTTGGTTGTTTTGTGTTGTGGGATTGTTCAAGTGATTCTCCTGTGTCAGCCTCCAAAGTAGCTGGAGTACAGGCTCCCACGACCACACTCAGCTTATTTTTCTATTTTTAGTAGAGGTGGGGTTTTACTATGTTGGTCAGGCTGGTCTCGAACTCCTGATCTCAGGTGGTCCGCCTGCCTTGGCCTCACAAAGTGCTAGGAATATAGGCATGAGCCACCATGCCCGACCCCAGAAATGAAAGTTCTATGTGTGCAGTAATGTAATTCTGACTGATAAATGACAGGTGACAGTAAGTGAAAATCTAACACAATTCAACATTTCTACATATTTAGACACATTGTAATTGGTTAGCTTATTGGAAAAAGTTAAATGACTACCAATTTATACGGCATATTTATTCTGAATGAATTGCTAATCTAGATTTGAGAGATGAAATAATTATTTTTACAACACAGAAACATAAAGTGCATTTCCATATACCAACAATGAACAATTTGACAGTAAATTAATAAAACAATTGTTTGCAACAACATTAAAATAATATAATTCTTAGCAATAAATTTAATAAGAAGGTACATATTTTGTACAATAAAAAATACAGGATCAGAATATTTATGAAAAAAACTAAAAAGGACTTAAATAACTGGCAACAAATTCCATGTTCCTGAACCTGAAGACTTAATGAAGTTAAGATGAAAATACTGCTACCCAAAGTAGTGTACAGATGTACTGTAATCCCAATTTTTAATTTTTCCAACTTTTCTTTTGCAAAAACAAAATAATTCATTTAAAACTTCATATGAAATTTGAAAATCCTCTGAATGTACAGAATAATCTTGAAAAGAAGAACATAATTAGATATTTCACAATTTTAAATTTGAAAACATACAAAGCTACTATAACAGTTTGCTAGTGGCATAAGAACAATTGTAGAGATCAAATAAATAAAATAGATAATCCAAAAAACCCTTGCATAAATTATTGATTGTCTTTTGACAAGGGTGCCTTAGTCATTATGTAAAGAAAGGGACAGTTTGTTCCACAATAAATTCTGGGAAAACAAGTTCACATTTAAACCAGTAAAGTTGAATCTTTATCACATTCCAAGTACAAAAATTAAATAAAAATAGATTAAAGACATAAGTGTTCAACTTTAATGGTTTCTAATGGTTGTTTTTATTTATGTGGGGTCAGTATTAACATGAACACCTTTATACACACAAACTAGAAAACTTTAAAGAAATAGATACATTACTAGATATACACACTCTCCCAAGATTAAGCCAGGAAGACAATTATTTCCTGAATGGACCAATAAAAAGCTCTGATATTATATAGGTAATAAGTAGCTTGCCAATCAAAAAAATGAAAGCCCTGGACTTTATGGATTTGCAGCCAAATTCTACAAAATGTACAAAGAAGAGCTTGTACAATTCCTACAGAAACTATCCCCAAAAATTGAGGAGGATGGTCTCCTCCCAAACTCATTCTATGAGGACAGCATGATCTTGACACCAAAATCTGGCAGAGACACAACAAAAACACAAAATTAGCCGGGCTTGGTAGCAGACACCTGTAGTCCCAGCTACTTGGGAGGCTGAGGCAGGAGAATGGCATGAACCCAGGAGGCGGAGCTTGCATTAAGCAGAGATTGCGCCAGTGCACTCCAGCCTGGGCAACAGAGGGAAACTCTGTCAAAAAAAAAAAAAAAAGAAAGAAAGAAAAGAAAACTTCAGGCCAATATTCTTGACAAGCATCATTACAAAAGTTTTCAGAAAAATATTTGTAAACCAAATCCAGCAGCACATCAAACAGGTAATCCGTCATTATCAAGTAGGCTGCCTCCTTAGGATGCAAGGTTGGTCCAGCATGTGCAAATCAATAAATGTAATACATCACATAAACAGAACTAAAAACAAAAAACAGACGATTATCCCAATAGATGCAGAAAATAATAAAAGCCGTGTATAACAAACCCACAGCCAACAATCTGTTGAATGGGCAAAAGTTGGGAGCGTTTTTTTTTTGAAAACCAGCACAAGGCAAGAATGCCCTCTCTCACCATTTCTATTCAACATAGTATTGAAAGTCCTGACCAGGGCAATCAGGCTAGAGAAAGAAATACAAAAAGCATCCAAATAGGAAGAGAGAAAGCCAAACTATTTCTGTTTGCAGATAACATAATTCTATATCTAGAAAACCCTGTAGTTTCAGCTACAAAGCTTCTTTAGTTAACAAACAACTTCAGCGAATTTTCAAGATACTAAATCAATGTGCAAAGATCACTAACATTTCTCTACACCAATGATAACCACACTGACAGCAAAATCAGAAAGGCCATCCCATTCACAATTGCCACAGAAATAATAAAATACCTGGAAATGCAGCTCACCAGGGAGGTGAAAGAGCTCTACAATGAGAATTACAAAACACTGCTCAAAGAAATCAGAGAAGACACAAACAAATGGAAAACCACCCCATGCTCATGGATAGGAATATCCAATATGACTAAAATGGCTATACTTCACAAAGCAATTGACAGATTTAATGCTATTTCCATCAAACTGCCAATAAAATTTTTTACAGAGCTAGAAAAAACTATTTTAAAATTCCTATAGGCTGGGTGCAGTGGCTCACGCCTGTAATCCCAGCACTCTGGGAGGCCGAGGGGTGCAGATCATGAGGTCAGGAGATCGAAACCATCCTGGCCAACATGGTGAAACTCCTTCTCAACTAAAAATACAAAAAATAGCTGGGCCTAGTGGCAAGCGCTTGTAATCCCAGCTACTCGGGAGGCTGAGGCAGGAGAATCCATTGAACCAGGGAGTCAGAGGTTGCAGTGAGCTGAGATTGCACCACTGCACTGAAGCCTGATGATAGAGTGATATTCCATCAAAAAAAATTATATATATGAAACCAAAAAGGAGCACACATAGCCAAGGCAATCCTAAGCAAAAAAGAACAAAGCTGCAGGCATCAGGTTGCCTGGCTTCAAATTACACTACAGGGCTATAGTAATGAAAACAGCATAATACTGATACAAAAACAGACACATAGACAAATGGAGCAGAATAGAGAGCCCAGAAACAAGGCTGCACATCTATGCCCATGTGATAATTGACAAGGCCGACAAAAACAAGCAATGAGAAAAAGATTATTTATTCAATAAGTGGTGCTGGAATAATTGGCTGGCAATATGTGGCAGATTGAAGCTGGACCCTTTATTTACATCATATACAAAAAGAAAATCAACTCAAGACTGATTGAAGACTTAAATGTAAAATCTTTATGTATAAAAACTATGAAAGACAATCCAGGCAATACCATCCTGGATATAGGAAAGGGCAAAGATTTCATGATAGAAATACCAAAAGCAATAGCAAGAAAAGCAAAAATTAACAGGTAGGATTTAATTAAAGTAAAGAGATTTTGCATAGCAGAAAAAAAACTATTAACAGAGTAAACAGAAAAACTATGGAGTGGAAAAAAATATTTGTAAACTATCTATCTAACAAAGGTCTAATATCTATCATCTATAAGGAAATTAAATTTACAAAAGAAAAACAACCCCATTAAAAAGTGGGCAAAGACATGAACAGTTTTCGAAAGAAGACATACATGAGGCCAACAAGTGTATGAGAAAAAGCTCAGCATCAATGATAGTTAGAGAAATGAAAATTAAAACCACAATGAAATGCCATCTCACACTAGTCAGAATGGCTATAGTCAAACAATAAATGCTGGAGAGGTTGTAGAGAAAAGGGAACTTATACACTGTTGGTGGGAGTGTAAATTAGTTCAACTGCTGTGGAAAGCAGTTTGGCAATTCCTCAAAGAGCTAAAAGCAGAACTAACATTCAATAGTTCTGCTCGCAATCCCATTACTGCGTATATTTCCAGAAAAATAGGAATTATTCTACCATAAAGACACATGCATGCAAATGTTCACTGCAGCCCTATTCACAACAGCAAATGTGCTACGTATACATTATGGAATACTATGTACCCATAAAAAAGAATGAGATTATGTCTTTTGTGGGAAAATAGATGTAGCTGGATACTACTGTCCTTAGCAAACTAACACAGGAAGAGAAAACCAAATATCGCATGTTCTGACTTATAAGTGGGAGCTAAATAATAAGAATGTATGAACACGAGGAGGAAAACAGTAGACCCTGGGGTCTATTTCAAGTAAGAGGGTGGGAGGAGGGAAAGAAGCAGAAAAGATAGCCACTGGGTACTGGGCTTAATACCTGGGTGATGAAATCATCTCTACAGCAAACTCCTGTGACATATGTTTACCTGTGTAACAAACCTTCACACATATACCCGAACTTACTGTAAAAGTTTCAAAAAGTTAAACTTTAAAAACTCTTAGGAAAAAGCATAAGCAAAAATCTTATAACTTTAAATTTTGTGATGGTTTCTTGACTGTAACACCAAAAGCATAGGCCAGAAAATAAAAAACAGATAAATTGGACTTGATTTAAATGTGAATTTTTTGATATGAAAAGCACTCTGTTGTTCGTGTTTTTTGATAGAAAAAACCCCACCTCTACTAAAATTTGATACAAAAAGCATGAACAAGAGAGTGAAAAGACAACCAGCAAATGGGAGAAAAGATTTGCAAAGCATGTAACTGATTGGGTACATAAGGTAAAATATAATAAGCAGGATATATAAAGAACTTCTAAAACTCAACAACAAAACGAAACAACAGCATTTATAAAAGGGCAGAGGACTTGTATCTACATTGGGTCAAAAAGTCTACAGAAAAATGCTCAACATCACCAGTCATGATGGACATGGATAACAAAACCACAACAAGTTACCACTTTACATCTATTAGAGTGGCTACATAAAAACCAAAACAACAAAAATGAAAAACAACAAGTATTGGCAAGGATGTGGGGGAAGTGAAACCCTGGTGCATGGCTGGTGAGAATATAAAATGATTTTTTGACTGTGACCAATAGATTGGCAGTGTATCAGAAAGTTCTACATAGAATTACCATATGTTTCACAACAGGTGGAACAGTTCCATATGTTCCAATTACAGGTGTATCCAAAATAATTAAAAACAATGACATAAGCTGCAAACTCTGCCTCTGTGGATTAAGTGATCCTTGTGCCTCAGTCTACCGAATAGCTGGGACTACAAGCAAGCACCACAATGCCCAGCTAATTTTTGAATTTTTAGTAGAGATGGGGTTTTGCCATGTTTCCATGGCTGGTCTCGAACTCCTGAGCTTAAGTGATCTGCCTGCCTCAGCCTCCCAAAGTTTTGGGATTACAGGTGTGAACCACCATGTCTGGACTCTGTTATTCAATCTAAGAACTGCATGCAGAAATGTGTTCAGGTTTTAAAATTGTATTCACTTATGCACTGATACTTTCAAAGCAAATTTTATAGCAGCATCATTTACAGTAAAAAATTTAAAAAGAAATCCAGATATCTTCTAAGAGTCAAACAGACAAAGAAAATATGGTATATACACACAACAGAATATTATTTATCCTTAAAATGAATGTGGGGGGGGAGGAGCCAAGAAGGCCGAATAGGAACAGCTCTGATCTACAGCTCTCAGTGTGAGTGATGCAGAAGACAGTTGATTTCTGCATTTCCAACTGAGGTACCAGGTTCATCTCACTGGTGAGTGCCAGACAGTAGGTGCAGGACAGTGGGTGCAGTGCAACGTGCATGAGCCGAAGCAGGGCAAGGCATTGCCTCACCCGCGAAGTGCAAGGGGTCAGGGAATTCCCTTTCCTAGTCAAAGAAAGTGGTGACAGATGGCATCTGGAAAGTTGGGTCACTCCCACCCTAACACTGCGCTTTTCCAATGGGCTTAAAAAATGTCACACCAGGATATTATATCCTGCACCTGGCTCAGAGAGTCCTACGTCCATGGAGCCTCACTCATTGCTAGCACAGCAGTCTAAGATCAAACTGCAAGGTGGCAGTGAGGTTGGGGGAGGGACGCCTGCCATTGCTAAGGCATGAGTAGGTAAACAAAGTAGCCAGGAAGCAGGAACTGGGTGGAGCCCACCAGAGCTCAAGGAGGCCTGCCTGCCTCTGTAGGCTCCACCTCTGGGGGCAGGGCACAGACAAACAAAAAGTCAGCAGTATCCTCTGCAGACTTAAATATCCCTCTCTGACAGCTTTGAAGAGTGTAGTGGTTCTCCCAGCTCACAGCTTGTGATCTGAGAATGGACAAACTGCCTCCTCAAGTGGGTCCTTGACTCCTGAGTAGCCTAACTGGGAGGCACCCCCCAGTAGGGTTGGACTGAAACCTCACACAGCCTGGTACTCTTCTGAGACAAAACTTCCAGGGGAACGATCAGGCAGCAGCATCTGCGGTTCACCAATATCCACTGTTCTGCAGTCACCGCTGCTGATACACAGGCAAACAGGGTCTGGAATGGACTTCCAATAAACTCCAACAGACCTGCAGCTGAGGGTCCTGACTGTTAGAAGGAAAACTAACAAACAGAAAGGACATCCACACCAAAAACCCATCTGTACATCACCATAATCAAAGCCCAAGTTAGATAAAACCACAAAGAAGGGAAACAAGTAGAGCAGAAAAACTGGAAACTCTAAAATTCAGAGCACCTCTCCTCCTCCAAAGGAACACAGCTCCTCACCAGCAATGGAACAAAGCTGGATGGAGAATGACTTTGATGAGTTGAGAGAAGAAGGCTTCAGATGATCAAACTACTCTGAGCTACAGGAGGAGATTCGAACCAATGGCAAAGAAGATAAAAACTTTGAAAAAAAATAGATGAATGGATCACTAGAATAACCAATGCAGAGAAGTCCTTAAAGGACCTGATGGAGCTGAAAACCAAGGCACGAGAACTAAGTGATGAATGCAGAAGCCTCAGTAGCCGATGTGATCAACTGGAAGAAAGGATATCAGTGATGGAAGACAAAAGGAATGAAATGAAGCGAGAAGAGAAGTTTAGCAAAAAAGAATAAAAAGAAATGAACAAAGCCTCCAAGAAATATGGGACTACGTAAAAAGACCAAATCTACGTCTGATTTGTGTGCCTGAAATTGACGGGTAGAATGGAACCAAACTGGAAAACACTCTGCAGGATATTATCCAGGAGAACTTCCCCAATCTAGCAAGGCAGGCCAACATTCAAATTCAGAAAATACGTAGAAGGCAACAAAGGTACTCCTCGAGAATAGCAAATCCAAGACACATAATTGTCAGATTCACCAAAGTTGAAATGAATGAAAAAATGTTAAGGGCAGCCTGAGAGAAAGGTTGGGTGACCCACAAAGGGAAGCCCATCAGACTAACATCTGGGGGCCAATATTCAACATTCTTAAAGAAAAGAATTTTCAACCCAGAATTTCATATCCAGCCAAACTAAGCTTCATAAATGAAGTAGAAATAAAATACTTTACAGACAGGCAAATGCTGAGAGATTTTGTCTCCAACAGGCCTGCCCTAAAAGAGCTCCTTAAGCTGGTTTTTTGAAAGGATCAAAAAAATGATAGACCACTAGCAAGACTAATAAAGAAAAAAAGAGAAGAATCAAATAGACACAATAAACAATGATAAAGGGGATATCACCACCGATCCCATAGAAATACAAACTACCATCAGAGAATACTACAAACACCTCTGTGTAAATACACTAGGAAATCTTGAAGAAATGGATAAATTCATTGACACATACACTATCCCAAGAATAAACCAGGAAGAAGTTGAATCTCTGAATAGACCAAAAACAGGAGCTGAAGTTGTGGCAATAATCAATAGCTTACCAACTAAAAGGAGTCCAGGACCAGATGGATTCACAGCCGAATTCTACCGGAGGTACAAGGAGGAACTGGTACCATTCCTTCTGAAAATATTCCAATCAATAGAAAAAGAGGGAATCCTCCCTAACTCATTTTATGAGGCTAGCATCATCCTGATACCAAGGCCTGGCAGAGACACAACCAAAAAAGAGAATTTTAAACTAATATACTCGATTAACATTGACGCAAAAATCCTCAATAACATACTGACAAACTGAATCCAGCAGCACATCAAAAAGCTTATCCATCATGATCAAGTGGGCTTTATCTCTGAGATGAAAGGCTGGTTCAATATACGCAAATCAATAAATATAATGCAGCATAGAAACAAAACCAAAGACAAAAACCACATGATTATCTCAATAGATGAAGAAAAGGCCTTTGACAAAATTCACTGACACTTCATACTAAAAACTCTCAATAAATTAGGTATTGATGGGACGTATCTCAAAATAATAAGAGCTATCTATGCCAAACCCACAGCCAATATCATACTGAATGGGCAAAAACTGGAAGCATTCCCTTTGAAAACTGGCACAAGACAGGGATGCCCTCTCTCACCACTCCTATTCAAAATAGTGTTGGAATTTCTGGCCAGGGCAATCAGGCAGGAGAAGGAAATAAAGGGCATTCAATTAGGAAAAGAGGAAGTCAAATTGTCCCTGTTTGCAGATGACATGATTGTATATCTAGAAAACCCCATTGTCTCAGCCCAAAATCTCCTTAAGCTGATAAGCAAATTAAGCAATGTCTCAGGATACAAAATCAATGTACAAAAATCACAAGCATTCTTATACACCAATAACAGACAAACAGAGAGCCACGTCATGAGTGAACTCCCATTCACAATTGCTTCAAAGAGAATGAAATACCTAGGAATCCAACTTACAAGGGATGTGAAGGAACTCTTCAAGGAGAAATACAAACCACTGCTCAATGAAATAAAAGAGGATACAAACAAATGAAAGAACATTCCATACTCATGGGTAGGAATATGGAAGAATCAATATCGTGGAAATGGCCATACTGCCCAAGGTAATTTATAGATTCAATGCCATCCCCATCGAGCTACTAATGACTTTCTTCACAGAATTGAAAAAATACTACTTTAAAGTTCATTTGGAACCAAAAAAGAGCTGGCATCACCAAGTCAATCCTAAGCCAAAAGAACAAAGCTGAAGTCATCACACTAACTGACTTAAAACTATACTAAAAGGCTACAGTACCCAGTAATCAAAGCAGCATTGTACTGTTACCAAAACAGAGATGTAGACCAATGGAACAGAACAGAGCCCTCAGAAATAATGCCGCATATCTACAACTATCTGATCTTTGACAAACCTGAGAAAAACAAGAAATGGGGAAAGTATTCCCTATTTAATAAATGGTGCTGTGAAAACTGGCTAGCCATATGTAGAAAGCTGAAACTGGATCCCTTCCTTACACCTTATACAAAAATCAATTCAAGATGGATTAAAGACTTACATATTAGACCTAATACCATAAAAAACCTAGAAGAAAACCTAGGCAATACCATTCAGCACATAGTCATGGGCAAGGACTTCATGTCTAAAACACCAAAAGCAATGGCAACAAGAGCCAAAATTGACAAATGGAGAAACTACCATCAAAGTGAACAGGAAACCTGCAGAATGGGAGAAAATTTTCACAACCTACTCAACTGACAAAGGGCTAATATCCAGAATCTGCAATGAACTCAAGCAAATCGACAAGAAAAAATCAAACAACCCCATCAAAAAGTGGGCGAAGGATATGAACAGACACTTCTCAAAAAAAGACATTTATGCAGCCAAAAAACACATGAAAAAATGCTCATCATCACTGGCCATCAGAGAAATGCAAATCAAAACCACAATGAGATACCATCTCACACCAGTTAGAATGGTGATCATTAAAAAGTCAGGAAACAACAGGTGCTGGAGAGGATGTGGAGAAATAGGAACACTTTTACACTGTTGGTGGGAATGTAAACTAGTTCAACCATTGTGGAAGTCACTGTGGCGATTCCTCAAGGATCTAGAACTAGAAATACCATTTGACCCAGCCATCCCATTACTGGGTATATACACGAAGGATTATAAATCATGCTGCTATAAAGACACATGCACACTTATGTTTATTGCAACACTATTCACAATAGCAAAGACTTGGATCCAACCTGAATGTCCAACATCGATAGACTGGATTAAGAAAATGTGGCACATATACACCATGGAATACTATGCAGCCATAAAAAATGATGAGTTCATGTCCTTTGTAGGGACATGGATGAAACTGGAAACCATCATTCTCAGCATACTAGCGCAAGGACAAAAAACCAAACACTGCATGTTCTCCCTCAGAGGTGGGAATTGAACAATGAGAACACATGGACACAGGAAGGGGAACATCACACACCATGGACTGTTGTGGGTTGGGGTAAGGGGCAGGGATAGCATTAGGAGATATACCTAATGCTAAATGATGAGTTAATGGGTGCAGCAAACCAACATGGCACATGTATACATATGTAACAAACCTGCACGTTGTGTACATGTACCCTAAAACTTAAAGTATAATAATAATAAAATAAAATAAAAATAAAAAAGAGAGGAAGTAAGCCATGCTGATTCCTGATGAGAAAGCATTCCAAGCAAAGGGGACCACACATGCAAAGGCCCTGAGGCAGAAGCACAACTGCCTGGTGTCTTTGAAGATTGCAAAATAGAGGGGAGACTGACTGGACTACACATCAGAGAAGTGTCAGGGGACAAGATGGTTTAAAACATTCCTAGCCATGGAAGGTTTTAAGCAGATGAAAACATTATTTTCCTTATGCTTTGAAAAGACTTACTCTGGATCACCTGAGGTCAGGGGTTCAAGACCTGCCTGGCCAACATGGCAAAACCACATCTCTATTAAAAACACAAAAATTAGCCAGGTTTGGTGGTGCATGCCTGTAGTCCCAGCTACTTGGGAGCCTGAGGCAGGAGAATCACTTGAACCCAGGAGTTAGCGGTTGTATTGAACCCAGATTGCACCACTGCACTCCAGCCTGGGAGACAGAGGAGACTCTGTCTCAAAAATAAATAAATAAATAAAGACTTACTCTGGTTGCTCAGTGAAGTACAAAGTACAGGGAGAAAGAGAAAGTGGGAGAGGAGTTAGAAGGCTATTTTCATAATCCATGAAAGCAATGACGTAAAGTGAAGCAGGGTGTACACAATGGGTGTAGCAAGGGAAGCTCAGATTCTTAATACAGTTCAACAGTGTATGCTGATATGAGGTGTAAGAAACAAAGAGGGGTCAAGACAAGTTTTCTGGCCTAACGGCTGGTACGCTGGAGGTGCTATTTACTGAGTCAGAGAAGACTGAGGAGTGTTGGGCCCAGAGGTTGAAGGTGGAGGATCAATAATTCCCTTATGGATGTGTGATAGTTGAGTTGTCTATTAGTCTTCCAAGTGGTGATAATCGGCAGATAATTAGATATGAGTCTAAATTTTAGAGGAGAGGTAGGAGCTGGAAATATGTGTTCATGGACCATGCACATATACATGGAATTTAATGCCATTGGGCTTCATGAGATCACAGAGGCATGAGTGCACCAAGAAAAACGGTTGAGAACAGTTAAAAGGTAAATGTTCCTTCTACATTTTGAATTTATAGAAATAATGACACAGTAGCCAGTTGCTGAAACACTACCCAGTTCAGAGTAAAACAAATTTCCTATTTTATCAAATCATTGAATGCCATTTAAAATTCAGAATACTTGCAGAGATCCCAAATATCTTAATAAAGATGAAAGCCTAAGTTCACATTGGTGGCCTAGACTCTGCCTTCCCTGATCGTCTATTTAAAAATAACAATAATGATATGGTTTTAGGTCTAATGTTTAAGTCTTTAATCCATCTTGAATTGATTTTTGTGTAAGGTGTAAGGAAGGGATCCAGTTTCAGCTTTCTACATATGGCTAGCCAGTTTTCCCAGCACCATTTATTAAACAGGGAATCCTTTCCCCATTGCTTGTTTATCTCAGGTTTGTCAAAGATCAGATAGTTGTAGATATGCAGCATTATTTCTGAGGGTTCTGTTCTGTTCCATTGATCTATATCTCTGTTTTGGTACCAGTACCATGCTGTTTTGGTTACTGTAGCCTTGTAGTATAGTTTGAAGTCAGGTAGTGTGATGCCTCCAGCTTTGTTCTTTTGGCTTAGGATTGACTTGGTGATGCAGGCTCTTTTTTGGTTCCATATGAACTTTAAAGTAGTTTTTTCCAATTCTGTGAAGAAAGGCATTGGTAGCTTGATGGGGATGGCATTGAATCTGTAAATTACCTTGGGCAGTATGGCCATTTTCACGATATTGATTCTTCCTACCCATGAGCATGGAATGTTCTTCCATTTGTTTATATCCTCTTTTATTTCCTTGAGCAGTGGTTTGTAGTTCTCCTTGAAGAGGTCCTTCACAATAATGACAATAATAAGAAGAAATATTCATGGATCACTAGATATGGTGAAATACAATCAAAGGAAAATTCATTTCTTTTCTACTATACCTTTGTAACTATCAGTCTTTAAAATAGTTTTATTAGAAAGGCACAGTCACCCTCACGCCAATAGCAGCTTATAAATACGGGGCAAGGAGCCTGGTGTGGGGAGGCTGAGAGATAATTGAGAGAACCAGTAGATATGAAGCTAATAAATAACACTGTCGACGAGAATGAGGCAGATAAGCCAGAGGCAGTGCAAATGGCCGGTCAAGACAGGTAGACAGACAGAAGCCAGGAGTGAGAGACGGGAGGTCCAAAGTGAATCCATGGGAGCTTACAGCGGGGGGGCGGATGAAGGGAGGAGCATCCAGGTAGAGGGGAAGGAATGGAGGTGTGAACAGGAGGCAGGAGGGCACAAGCTATTTGATATATTTGGAGAGCGAGGTGCTTTTTTTGAGGCTGAGAAAATAACTGGAAGCCAAAATCTGGAGGACTGGGTAGACAATGTTAAACAGCAAGCACTTGATTCTGCACGTGTTGGAAGCCAGTGCAGGGCTTCTAAGCAAGGCAGTGACATGACCACATCACATTTTAGGAAGGGTACAAATTAGGCATGACCACAGGCAGTAAGACCCGAGAGATCTCTTACAGTCAGGGATAAGAGTCTAAACGACAAGGTGGCCATGAACATTCAAAGAAAGAAGACTGAAGAGACTTTAGAGGGCAGGCCCCACGGGACCTGAGTGAAGGGGTTTGGGAGTCTCACAGCTTTCTTCTGTGAAGTCAAGGATATCACAAACTATCGGAATGAAAGAAACAGTCCTAGGGCTAGGGGTAGGTGGATGAATGTGGTTCCATTTTGAACAAGAAGAGAAAATTCAGGTAATTCATTTTGATTGATCAAGCAAAATAATTTGCAGCTGAACATTATAGAAGCAACAACAATTCTTATGATACTGGGGTATAGGAAACAGGCTCAAGAAAGCACAGTATTTCCTGTTTCTCTTCTGATTCAATAAATAATATTTTCTGTTAAGGTTTTTGATAAGTGTTGTTTTAATTAATCAAAAGGAGACAAGATAAATTTGAACTTAAAAGCATAAGAAAATCAGTTGTCTTTTTAGAAAAGGTGAGTCAGTATTTCCTATGGTCTTAAATCATCCTTCAAATAATGATCTATGAAACAAATGAGATCCTACTTATCTAGCCTTTTCCTTGATAAATTAAAAACTGTACCAAAATCTTACTATATTGCAAAGACACTAGTTCACTCAATTGAGAATCCTCAGTATACAAACATATAAATCAAGGGAACTTAACCAATCATTGTGTTCAAAATGGGAAGATTATTCCAAATTTTTTCTACATATTTTAGAATAATTTCACAGTTAAACACCCTGTAGCTTATAAAATCATTATCCAGTATTTAATAAAGTATATCTATAACAATATCAACATTTTAATTTAAGAGTTTACAAAGCACTTTTGATACATCACATTTAAATGAAGGCGGCAACGAGTTCAGTACATTCATGCAGATTAGAAAACAGTAGTTTTTGAAGATTGTATTTTTTCATGTAAGTCAGAAGGTTTGAACTATTTCCTACTCCTGCTATGGGTTTAAGCCTAAGAAACGTTATTCATTATGATTTGGTCTTTAAATAAATCACGAAGGTAGAGAGTAGAGCACACCCCATGAATGCACTGAGGTGCCGTAAGTCTCCAACGCCAGAGGTGGCAGGTTGGAATTTAGTTCAATCACGAATTTGTTATGAGAACTCTGACAACCTTCAGCTCTAAAGTAAGCTTGGAAACACAAAGAAACTCTGCGAAAAATACTGAACACAGACACACACACACACACTCCTCTCTTTTAAGACTGGCATAAAAGATGTAAGTGTACCAACAAGCAACCTCCAAAGAGCAAATGAAACAGAAAATTCAAACGAGTGCCTGGTAGGAGTTGTAACTTCAACAAAGTGCCTCTCATATCTGCCTCATAAACCCGTACTCATTTTTCACAACTAACTCACATAGCACCCCCTCAGTGACACCTTTCCTGTTCTGCCTACCAGATATATCTGCAGACCTAGGGTATCTTCTCGTCCAGAACACAGGGCATCTCATACAGGGGGCTCTATCTACAGGGGGCTCTATGCTTTGACAGGAACTGTGAACCTATGGGCAGCAGTTTTTTCAATTCATGTTTGTGGCTCTCATTACAAATGTCCTGCCTCAGGCACCCAGCAGGTGGTAATAAATGCTGGTTGAACATTAAAACCTTGGAATGCTGTATCATTATTCTAAAGGATAGACATTTTTTAAAACATTTTGGAAGTTCTTTTGAAACTGACTTTTTAGATTATGAAAATATCTCAGTGATAGGTTTTGATTTTCCAAGTTAGACCTTATTTTATTTTAGAAACCGTCAAAGTTATACAAAACCAAGCATGTGTCTCTGTGCATTTTGTTTTCTCTCCTCCCTTAATGGTAAGGAAGGATTTCATCTCTTTTATAGGCCAAATGCTCCACAAATGAATGTGTTAACAAATGAACAAATTAATAAATGACATGAATGAGAGCTCAAACTGCATAAAAGTATACTTACTTAAACATGAGATGTGACGATTGCTAACATGTCATAATCAGACTCTGTCCTGACTTCAGCAAACCACAACTTTGACAACAAAGAGGAAAGAGGATCAAGTCCCTAAATACCGCAGGTGCACTAAGACCTTCCCACGTGCCCGAAGAAGATACACTTGCAGAGGAGAAACGATGATGCAGAGGCCTGCTCCGAGATGCAGGAGGAAGTTTAATTGCCTGTGAATTTGACTGGAATGGCAGTCAAACGAGGTTTGAAAGGAAATAGAGATTGTTAAACTACTGACTAGGCGATAACTGCCGTCCTTCTCTTCTATCTGTCCCTGTTACTAGGCAATAACTGCCTTCCTTCTCTTCTATCTGCCCCTGTGACTAGGCGATAACTGCCGTCCTTCTCTTCTATCTGCCCCTGTGACTAGGCGATAACTGCCCTCCTTCTCTTCTATCTGTCCCTGTGATTAGGCGATAACTGCCCTCCTTCTCTTCTATCTGCCCCTACCTTGGGCCCCAAATGACTCAGCACTAAAGTGCCTTGAGCAGGCTCCAGCCCAAAAGTGGCCTCCACGGGCAGCACTTCTCGCTCTGCTGCCCTGCCTTGCTTTCCTCCTGGCAGGTAAGAAAGAAGGAAGGAAAGAAGACCCTGAACTGGAATCATACACATCATCGCAATTCATCCACACCGCAGTCCTTTAAGGTTTGTGCCATTGTACTCAGAAAACTGAGGCTCAAAGAGATTGAGCAACTTATCTAAGACCTCACAGGTCCTGAGAGCAGAGTCTGGATTTCAAACACCTGGGAGACTCTGAAATCCATGTTAGCTCTTCTATACATGGGCCCAAAATGCAGCTGTACACCAGCAAGACTGACTTCCTCTTGCGGCTTATCACTAGCTCTGAATACAAGAATCTTCAAAATGCTTTATAAACAATAGTAGCATCATGGGAATAAGTTGGCAAGTTCCCAGAATTACTGTTTTAGATGCACTTGAACTTTTTCTCCATGTATAGAGTCAGGAATAAGGAAAAAGGATCCAAAGGAGAAGGAGAAAAATAAAACGGGACTGAGCCTTATACTTCTTGACCAGAACTGATAATGTTGGGATTTTCCTTACTTTTTTTCCAGACAAATCCAATAAAGACGTCTGTTTCTGTTACCTAAAACCTACTTGAAAAGTTTGCTCCCTCCCACCTTAAGCGGCTTTGTATAGAGCCCACAGTTGAACATTGGTTCCAACGACAAAGGTTAATTTCAAAGTTTTTATAGTATTATTCAAAGCACGTTTGATTTCAGCCTTGGCAACCATGGGCAGAATGTCAGCAATGCTCCCTCTATTAGCTATTGGAGAGAAAACACTGTGAAACTCTAAGACCTTGGTTATTGGGCTAATGAAACATTTATGCCCTGATCAGATGGAGCAAAACTTCGGCAGGGTTAGTGAGCCACCTTCCAAGTGTACCAATGAAGCTCTTGCCTGCTGTTACAGATAAATGACTTTCATTTCACTATTGGCTTGTGCTTGAGAAGGTTATTCAATTGATTCCAGTTGTTTGCAATGCCTTGAAGGCAAATAATTTTGTAGCATCCACTGTCCTCAGAAAAAATACACTGTTTCTTTTCTAAGGAAGGTTGTTTTCATAATACCCTAGATATCAACAGAAAATATTCCACTTCTTATCATATATTAATTTGGCTCTGGAATAAGTAAATGTAACTACCAGAATGCTAATTAGGATGTTACGCTGATGTTTATTTGTGTGTTCTAATCTGTAGATAAACAACAAGGTCTCTTATAATTCATGATTCCAAGTCTCAGGCCACAGCAGGACAAGTATCAAAACATCTATTCTCAATTTGGAGTTGAGATTTCTAAAAAGAATTCTATTTTATCCATAATCATAAAATAGCACCAGGAAAAGTCAATATCTTAAAATACAGATCGTTGAAAAGTAGATCTTTCTGCCCTTAACATAAACAAACTGTAAAATCTGAAGTTAAAATTATTCCTTGTACCAGCCTCCTAGTTTACCCAGATTTACCAGAAAAGTTATAGCAGTGCATGAAGCTCTGAGGTTTTGATGGGTGTAGATATAGACATCCAATTCTGCCATTTCACACTAGTCAGAATACCAGTCATAGAAATCCCACAGGAAAAATCATTTCTGAAGGTATCTGGTCTTATGGATTATAAAATTAAACTTTCTTATCATTTTACCTAAACCGAAATATGCTTCCTATACAAAGAAGATTTCTTTCAAGAGTTAAGACCACCTCCCGCCATCCCCCTTAACACACACACACTCACACACACACAGAGATAGAGAGAGAGAGAGAGAGAAAGAAAATTGAGAGCATTAGTGGTTTTCTTCCTTAGACTGATTTTTTCTTGCTGTTATTTTCAGCCACTTTGTTAACGGTGGAGTTAAAGGGCAGGATAGATGTAACACCCATTTAACATACATGTTGCAACATCAGAGATGCTAGTCTTCATTAAAAATACCAGTTCTAAATTCCTTCTAAAATATATTTTTAAAAATCAGTACCCTTGGTACCTTGGAAATGCTGAAATGTTATCATGAATTCTGTTTATTTGTTATGAGTCTACTGAATATTATCTTCAATATAAACTATAATTTACTGGTCTGAACACTCTTCCTATCTTACCTGTATATACTCTAAGGGAGCAATTTCTCATGTTTAGCAAATTGTTCTTTAGGTAATTTGTTCTTTAGTTTTTTTGTACAAAAGTACAAAATAATTATCACAACAAATTTTCCAGTATTTATTATTTTGAAGCTATATATTTTGGAGTGAACTTGTTTTTTTTTTTTCCATGTCAGGCTTGAGCAGGATAGCAAATATATAAATTGAGCTCTCTAATTATAATCTCAATATATGAATTCTTGCTAATTAAAATACTTTGCACAAGCAAAAACAATTGCCACGTATGTGTTTAGGAGGTAGTTAAGTAACTCTATATAAAAATAAGTGCACTTTCCCCTCCTTTCTTCAGTGACTAGAGAACTTCCATACTTTTAAAATAATCAAATAATAATTTAGAGAGAAACAGCCCTCAACTCTTTGCTGGTGCTTATCACACTGCCTTTCTTCACTCCATTCTTAGCTCTGCTAGTTTCTTCTTGTCTGTAATGATAATAAGGGAATGTGGGTGGGTCAGCACTTCTGTGTAGGTCCCCTTTCCAAATTTGCCTTCCAAAAAGCCAACCAAATAAACAACCAAAAAATTGTGCAACAAAACACAAATAGCATTCCAACATCTTGGTAAGTGATGCATTCACCTGAGATTGAGTGGTTTTAGGCGGTCAGTAACAAAATGTTTCTTTGCTGTCTTAGTAGAAAGGCAACAAATTCTTCAAAGAAACCAAGAAGGTTACTACCTTGACAACGTCTCTCATTACCTTCCTCCTCTTATGTCTTTTCTCTCCACATTATCTGTTGTGTATCTACTATAGAAGGCTACAAAACATACAGCAGAAAGGATGGCTTGAAGGCAATTGATGTTTGTAAATAAATTCACAACAAGGTCCAAGCTGAAGAGGTGAACACATCAGCCGGGTGGGACAATTCTCAGCATGTGCAAACATAGGCAAATTCTAGCCTATGTTACATTGAAAACAATGTCAGTGCATTTTTTCAATGTTAAAGATTTTTTCAAAGCTAAAGCGTGTTCTTTGCTGTGCTGACCACAAACAAGTTTTTTTTTTTTTTTTTTTTTTTTTTTTTTTTTTTTTGAGACGGAGTCTCGCTCTGTCGCCCAGGCTGGAGTGCAGTGGCGGGATCTCGGCTCACTGCAAGCTCCGCCTCCCGGGTTCACGCCATTCTCCTGCCTCAGCCTCCCAAGTAGCTGGGACTACAGGCGCCCGCCACTACGCCCGGCTAATTTTTTGTATTTTTTAGTAGAGACGGGGTTTCACCGTTTTAGCCGGGATGGTCTCGATCTCCTGACCTCGTGATCCGCCCGCCTCAGTCTCCCAAAGTGCTGGGATTACAGGCGTGAGCCACCGCGCCCGGCCCACAAACAAGTTTTAAGAGTTTCGGAAGTCTGGCAAAAATAGAAAAAAAAAAAAGCTGAAGCAACATTGAACCGCACAATGTAAGCATTGGGCATGCACAAATTTTCAAAACAAAGGAAGGAAATCATCCCTCTCTACAACGTGGTTAGGCTGATTTTTAAGAAATAAAATGTAAGAAATCAGAAAAGCAAATGTTTGGCACCTACATATCCAATATCTGGCACCGTGCAGAGTAGAAGAGTGAAAGAAATAATGAAGAACAAAGTGGTTACTTTGCTTCAGGAGTTCATGATCTATAGTTAGAAACCAATATAAACATTTTGAGTATATTTCAAAGAAAGAGAAAAGCAGGCCGGGTGTGGTGGCTTGCACCTCTAGTAATAACAGTTTGGGAGGTTGAGGTGGGAAGATTGCTTGAGCTCATGAATTTGATACCAGCCTGAGAAATATAGTAAAACCTCATATCTATAAAAAGTTTTAAAAAAAGGAGAGCAAAAACAAATACGAAAGAAAACATTAGAAATCAGAGCTCGGGCAAAGAGTTCAACGTGAGCAAAGCAGCTCTGCCCTGGGGGACCTCTGGAGCATCCCGGCTTCCTGTAGAGGCCCCACCACATGGCCCTTTCCCATCACTGGGAACCATCTTCTGTATCATGCCAGGAATTTCCCCCAAACTTCTCAACCTAATTTATTCAGCCAAACCATATATATTTCTTGAATCCTTACTAAAAGCAAGGCACTGTTCAACTTAATGAAAATATGTCAACTATATAAAACAAAAATGTTTACCCTCATGCAAGTTATATTCCAGTGAGAAAAGACAGATCATTAATAAAATAAATATGTAAAATATATGATATGCCAGAAGGTAATAAGTGGCACAGAGAAAAATTAAGTTTGGAAGAGAGCTCAGGAATGCTGGGAGCAGGTAGATGTGAAGGTAGTTAGAATGCTCAAGGAGGGAGTAATAGGCAGAAGAATGGCCTTTCTACATGTCCATATCCCTATATGGCAAAAAGGACTTATGGATGTGATGAAGTTATGGATCAGGAGATGAGGAGATTATTCTGGATTACCCATGTTGGCCAATGTCATCACAAGAGGACTTAAAAGCAAAAGAGGGAGGCAGGAGAGTCTGA
The DNA here is from genome assembly GCF_000001405.40 of Homo sapiens. Classification (NCBI taxonomy): domain Eukaryota; kingdom Metazoa; phylum Chordata; class Mammalia; order Primates; family Hominidae; genus Homo; species Homo sapiens. Next base: position 29,036,484 of record NC_000020.11, read on the forward strand.
GGCAAGAAGCGTGACAGCTAGGGTCAGAATGATGTGGTTGTTGCCTGGAAGGGGGCCAGGGTCCAAGGGATGCAGGCATCCTTTCAAAGCTGGAGAAGGTAAGAAAGTGTTCTCTCTCCCCTAGAGAGAGTGTGTGTTCTTTTAGGCTACTAGAGGTGTGCTAATTTATTCCAGCAGTCATAGAAAACTTATATAGATAAGGTCTCACTGAGAAGATAACATTTGAACAAAGATTCCAAGGAGGTGAGGGCACCAGCTATGCAGATATCTGGGGAAGAGCACTCGAGGAAGAAAAGGCAGGCAAACAGCAGGGTGACTAGCCCATGTGCATGAAGTAGAGAACACTGGGAGTCAGAAGGCTAACAGGAGACAAGTCAGAGAGAGGGACTGGGGTGGGTCAACTCACACTCAGCCTCACTGGCTATTGTAAGAACTTCGAGTTATTCTGACACACTCAGTATAGGAGAGTCTATGAATATTTATAGAAATTCTGAACGTTTACAAGATGAATAAAAGTTGTATGCTAGCAAACCTATTGGTTGGGTGGGGGGAAGCCCAGATTTGTAGCATTTGCTGATTTCCATTGTGTAAATATTTCTACTGATGGTTTGACAAACACTTCATAAAATTTCTGGGTACTTAATTATCAGCTCCAGTAGAGCGCTGTATGTATGACACCATATTTGCCAATTCCACATTAGATTCTATTGTGAACAAGCTGTATGAGAGTCAACTGGTGGCAGAAATAAGGAAGTCCTCAATAAAAATCAGCATTTACTTTTGACAGATGTGAGATTCTGGAACTTATTTCTCTTTACTTGCTCTGCCTGGTGATTAAATTATGATTTTAAAAGAAATAGTTTTAATTTCTTATCAGAATGCTGCCACCAAATAAATAAAATATGTACTTTAACTATATACAATCTTGTCTATATTATACTCTTGTCAACAGAAACATTATCATGGGCCAACTTCATGAAAGGAGATATGTGATAGAAGATGGAGTTGTTGGAATGGAAAAAAAAAGTCAAATTTTACTATGGATTAATCAGAGGGAAGAAAGCAAACAGATAGGAAAGGAAAGGCAGACTTAGCCAAGTCGAAGAGGCTGAACTCAGGAGGCAGTGGGAGAATAGGATCATAGTTTGAAGAGAGCTGCGAGGCTGTTTAGTCCAGGTGAGGATCATAATCCCAGAAGACCCAGTCACAAACACCATAACACTGAATGTTGAAATCCTGAAAGATTAAAATTCCTAAGGTCTAAATTCTCTTTTTTTTAATAGAGATATAGTGAATGGGTTCATTTTCATGCTCCAAATAAAAACATACACGAGCCTGGGTAATTTATAAAAGAAAGAGGTTTGATTGACTCACAGTTCAGCATGGCTGGGAAGGCTTCAGAAAACTTACAATCATGGTGAATGCAAACAAGAAGCAAGGCACCAGGAGGTGCTGAGCAAAAGGGGAAAAGCCCCTTATAAAACCTTCAGGTATCACTCACTGTCATGAGAACAGCACGGGGGTAACCACCCCCATGATTCAATTACCTCCAACTGGGTTCCTCCCATAATATGTAGGGATTATGGAAACTACATTTCAAGGTGAGATTTGGGTGGGGACACAGCCAAACCATATCATTCTGCCCTCAGCCCCTTCCAAATTTCATGTCCTTACATTTTAAAACATGATCATGCCTTTCTAACAGTCCCCCAAAGCCTCAGCTCATTCCAGCATTAACCCAAATATCCAAGTCCAAAGTCTTATCTTAGACAAGGCAAGGCCCTTCTGCCTATGAGCCTGTAAAGTCAAAATTAAGTTAGTTACTTCATAGATACAATGAGGATATAGGGGTCAGTCAAATCTTGAAGCTCTGAAATGATTTCCTTTGACTTCATGTCTCACATCCAGGTCACGCTGAAGCAAGAGGTGGGCTCTCATGGCCTTGGACAGCTCCACCCCTATTGCTTTGAAGAGTACAGCCCTCCTCCTGGCTGCTTTCACAGGATGGTGCTGAGTGTCTGTGGCTTTTCCAGGCAATACAGTGTAAGCTGTCAGTGTATCTACCATTCTGGAGTCTGGAGGATGGTGGCCGTCTTCTCTCAGCTCCACTAGGCAGTGCCCCAGTGGGGACTGTGTGGGGGCTCTGACCCCACATTTCCCTTCTGCACTCACTGCCCTAGCAGAGGTTCCCCATGAGGGTACCGTCCCCATCACAAATTTGTGCCTGAACACCCAGGCGTTTCCAGGCATCCTCTGAAATTTAGGTGTAGATACCCAAACCTCAATTCTTGACTTCTGTGCACCCACAGGCCCAACGCCTCATGTAAGCTGCCAAGGCTTGGGCCTTGTACCCTCTGAAGCCATGGCCTGAGCTGTACATTGGCCCTTTAACCATGATTGGGACACAGGGCGCCAAGTCCTGAGACTGCACAGAGCAGCAAGTCCCTGCACCGGGTCCATTAAACCATTTTTTTCCTCGTAGCCCTCCTGGCCTGTGAAGGTTTGAGTTGCTGTGAAGGTCTCTGACATGCCCTGAAGACATTTTCCCATTGTCTTGGTGATTAATATTTAGCTCCTCGTTACTTATGCAAATTTCTGCAGCTGGCTTGAATTTCTCTCCAGAAAATGGGTTTTCCTTTTCTATCTCATAATCAAGCTGCAAAATTTTTAAAAGTTTTATGCTTTGCTTCCTCTTGAACACTTTGCTACTTAGGAATTTATTCTGCCAGATACCCTAAACCATGTCTCTCAAGTTTAAAGTTCCACAGATTTCTAGGGCAGGGGCAAAATGCCATCAGTCTCTTTGCATAGCAAGAGTCATCTTTACTCCAGTTCCCAACAAGTTCTTCATCTCCATATGAGACCACCTCAGCCTGGACTTCATTGTCCATGTCATTATCAGCATTTTCCTCAAAACAATTCTGCAAGTCTCTAGGAAGTTCCAAACTTCCTCACATTTTTCTCTCTTCTTCCGAACCCTGCAAACTGTTCAAACTCTGCCTGTTACCCAGTTCCAAATTCACTTCCACATTTTTAGGTATCCTTATAGCAACACCCTACTACCTCAGTACACATTTACTGTATCAGTCCATTCTCATGCTGCTAATAAAGACATAACCAAGCTTGGGTAATTTATAAAGTAAAGAGGTTTAATTGACTCACAGTTCATCATAGCTGGGGAGGCCTCAGGAAACTTACAAGCATGGTAGAATGCAAAGGGGAAGCAAGTCACCTTCTTCATGAGGTGGCAGGAAGGAGAAGCACAAGCAAAGGGGGAAAAGCTCCTTATAAAACCATCAGATCTTGTGAGAACTCACTATCATGAGAACAGCATGGGGGTAACTGCCTCCATGATTCAATTACCTCCCACTGGGTCCCCATCATGATATGTGAGGATTATGGGAACTACAATTCAAGATGAGATTTGGTTGGAGACACAGCCAAACCATATCATGGGGTCTCAATTTATTGCCCCGGCTGATTTCAAACTCCTGGGCTCAAGTGATCCTCCTGACTTGGCCTCCCAAAGTGCTGGGAATACAGGCATGAGCCACCATGCCCAGTCCTAAAGTCTAAATTATTAACATCTAAAATCCAGAAAATCACAATCACAGGAGAGTTGTACCAAGTTAGTTGCATCGTGTTAGGTACAACTGTTGCTTTGTTTTCTTTTTATTTGGAAATTATGTATGGTTTAAGGAGGTCCATATGGGTGTCAAATCTGCAAGGGATGGACTTGCAGGCTTAATTTCAGGTGTCAACTTGACTGGATTAAGGAATCCCTGGAAAGCTGGGAAAGCATTATTTTGGGTATGTCTGTGATGGATTTCTCAGAAGAGATCAGTGTGTGGGTCTGAGCGGACTAGGTGGGGAAGATCTGCTATCACTGTTTTGAATGTCCTGAATATCACAGAAGAAGTTAAAATGAAAGTAAAAAATGCACAAAATCTTGTCTGCCAAATTATGTAATCATGTACCAAACACCTCTACAGGTAGCATCATGCTTGCCTTCACAAAATGCCTTTTGTGAGATAATAAAAATACTTCAAAAAATTCAGTGGTCTTCTGAGCCAGACACCTCCTGGCACAGAGCTTCCTCCAGTGCTACAAGACATATTAAATCATGAACTATTCTTGATTAGGGATTTGACTGTCAAAAAAGATAAATATGTTTATTTACCACTAAATTTAACATAACAAAACTGGTGCCTGTTTCACTTTGGCTGATGAACGGCACTTTCAAAACTGTCCCCAGTGGGTTTTTTAAATCAACTTTATACAGTTTATGCCCCAATTGGATTACAAAATTCTGTAATTTAATCTGCATGTTTATGGTTTAATAACTGGAAAAAGTGAAGTACTTTTTAAAAGCTTATTTGAAGATTTGGAGGGCTTTGCAGAAGAAAATAGATTTCAATTGGATCACCAAATTATAATGACAAGTTTTTAATTAGGTGTGATCAAGGCTTCTAAAAGTGAAATGCAAGTTGTTACCAGTAAACTTTATATCTTCCATTCAGCCCAGCTCATTTGCCAGAAAATTCAGGTGAGTGGATTGACCAGGCCATCTGGCAATGATGAAAATTTTAGTTTAAAAATGTGTCATTTGTCTGTATTGGCATTCCTTCCACCTGATAAAATTCCAGGAGCTTTTGATAAATTAAAACCACAATTGCCTGAAGAAGACAGAAATATTACATACTGGTTTGAAAATAATGATGTGCAAGGTGGGATAAGAAGTCATTTAGGCAACGGTGTTGCTGTTCAACCAAGAGTATTGTTTCTGCCAAATGAGTGGCCTGTATATGAGGGCCTGCAAAATGGATTTCCTCATACTCAAAACAATAGACAAGAATGGCATAGAAGATTGGAAAATATAATAGGAAATGCTCATGTCAGTGTGTATCAAATTATAGAAGAATTTCAAAAAGAGCAGTGCCACGTAGAAAATGAATGTGAATGTATTTTATGAGGAGAGTCAAATCCTAAAAACAAAAAAGGCAACTATTCATCGTGATGCATGACTTCAAAATATAGCTAATGATCATGAAAGTCAGCCATCTATGATGAACTCTGCAATTGCCCATAATCTATCCATGTAATATACTTTTTATGTGTCAATTTTCTTTTTAGTTGTTTCTTTTTCCATTTTTTCCACTATTTTAAATTGTCAGCATTATTTTTTACAAGTTGCTATGCTGTGTATTTCATCTTAGTATCATTTCCAATACTGGAGGTATAAATTTTGCAAAGACTTTTAGAGAGTTCTAATTTGTTTTATGCGTTTTTTTTTTTTTTGCAAATTTAACTCCACAAGAGTGCATTATCACAACACTGACTTTATGTGTAAGCATTGTACATGTACATAAAAACATTAAAGTTTCCTCAATAAGTGAGAAGATATCCTTTTTGCACATTTGCATTTGGGAAAGAGAAAATTCCTCAGGATCTCAGCTCTTTGACTGCATATTAGATGGTGACCCATCCCAGCTTTTGATGAATCTGGTCAAAAGACTTAGGTTGTCTGTCACAATATTCCAGATGACCTAAGTTATAAAGCTGAGTGCACCCAGTTACCAACCATGCTTTTATACATTTTGCTTTTTGACCCATTTCTTTACAACTCATCTGCTCATTACCATTATACCCGTGAGACTATCATTAGCATATCTGAGTTTTATGCTTGCAAATATACGTATGTTATTATTGCCTATTGATTGTGTAAAGTGGCCTAGGAAGCGTTCCGTTGTGTTTTTATACGTTTCTCAAATAAATTCCATCTTAAAAATATAAATAAATGCTTTTTTGTTGTTGTTTTTAGACAGAGTCTCACTCTGTCGCCCAGGCTGGAGTGCAGTGTTGCGATCGCGGCTCACTGTAACCTCCACCTCCTGGGTTCAAGCGATTCTCCTGCCTCAGCCTCCCGAGTAGCTGGGACTACAGGCACCCGTCACGATGCCTGGCTAATTTTTTGTATTTTTAGTAAAGATGGGGTTTCACCGTGTCAGCCAGGATGGTCTCCATCTCTTGAATTTGTGATCCACCCACCTCAGCCTCCAAAAGTGCTGGGATTAAAGGCATGAGCCACCATGTGCTGCCCAATAAATGCTTTTTAAAGAATGTGTTAATAATTTTTTTCCAGAATTGTATGTTCAGAATTTTGTTTTTTTAGGATTGTAATTTTCAGGATTTTAGACTGTACAGATTTAGATCTTTTGGGACTTCAACATATGGGATTACGACGTTTAGGATTGTGTTTTCCTGGGCTGTGGCCCAAACTCGTGTGGTCCAACACTATTTCACATGAGAGGAAAGCAAACCACGTGCACAGATGCAATGAAGGCTTAAATAAGCGTCATGTATAGATTATATCCCAGGAAAACATGATTAAGATGATACATAGCGACTTTTTTTTCCCCAGTGAAAAAGATCCACATTCTTTTTCTTGTGTGGAATTAAACACAATTTCTGAATCAATGTAAGTGAATGCAAATCACCACGTTCACTTAGCTGATGCTCCTTTATTAACAGGGATAGAAAGGAGGTCATTCGAAGAGATGATGGCATGGGACCCAGGACCTGAGGAAGCTGCAGTGGGTGAAGGGGAGAAACAGAGGAGCAGGGGCTGGAGAAAGAGTGGGGAGTCATCAACCACCCTCCTTTCTCCTGGCATCTGGTGTTCGGAGCCCAGAGGTCTTCTCTAGGGCCTCGGAGAAGCTTCCAAGTCTGTTCATTTATCTTTCCCCACCCCTGCTTGTATCACAAATAAAGAAATTATTGACAACTGAGTTCCTGACTAGGTGGCAGGATTTTAGGGACCCTTCACCTCGTCTGAAACTCATGAAGGTAGTGGGAATCCCATGGGTTAGTTAGTAACAGTCCCTGAGATTATTTGGTCATATAAATAATCAGAAAACTCATAGTCATCTTGCTTTTCTCATAATGCCCAGCTGGGGGATGTTGGGGGTAGGGAGGACTGGAGTGAGAAGAGACAGAACCAGAGCTGGCTTTCATGTATGGGGCTCTCCAGAGCAATCAGGCCTAAGTACAACCAAGAAGGGTCTTGAAGCCACTCTGGCAAGGGCAGCCTGGTCTCAGACCCCAGCTCACACCAAGCACGTCACCTGTCCGACTGGAAAGCTTAAACAATGTGTTTCTGTTTTTGCTTTTGTTTTCTGGTAAAGAATTCAATGCCATTAGCTACATTCACAATGCTGTGCAATCATCACCGCTATCCATTTCTGAAACATTCTATCATCCCAGACAGGAACTCTGTGCCCATTAGACATTAACCCCGCCCATTTCCACCTCCTGCCAGTCCTGAAAACCTCTATTCTACTTTTTGTCTCTATTAATTTGCCTGTTCCAGGTTCTTCATATAGATGGAATCACGTAGTCTGTGTTTGACGTCTCACTTAGCATAATGTTTTTAAGTTTTATCTATGTGGTAGCAAGTATCAGAATTCCCTCCCTTTTTAAAGATCACTAATATTCCATTTTATGTCTATACCACATTTTGTTTATCAATCTATCCCTCAATAGACTTTTTAGGTTGTTTCCACCTTGTGGTTCCTGTAAATAAGGCTGCTGTGATGCTGCAATGAACACAGGTGTAGCAGGCAGGTGTGGTGGCATGTGCCTGTAGTTCCTGCTACTAAGGCATCTGAGGCAGGAAGATTGCTTGAGCTCAGGAGTCCTGGGCTGCAGTGTGCTGTGTTGATCAGATGTCTGCACGAAATTAGACATTAGTACAGTGACCTCCTGGGATAAGGGACTACCAGGTTGCCTAAGGAGGGGCGAACCGGCCTGGGTTGGAGACAAAGCAGGGAACAACTCCCAGTTTGACCAGCAGGGGGTCATGCCTGTGGACAGCGACGCAGCAGGGAGATCCTGCCCGTGGACAGCCCCGCAACAGGGAGATCGTGCCCTTGGACAGCCCTGCAGCATGGGGATCGTGCCTGTAAACAGCCCCGCAGCAGGGTGTCATGCCTGTGGACAGCCCCTCAGCAGGGGTTCGTGCCTGTGGACAGCCCCACAGCAGGGAGGTTGTGCCTGTGGATGGCCCCGCAGCAGGGGATCGTGCCTGTGGACAGCTCCCCAGCAGGGGGATCATGCCTATAAACAGCCCCTGCACTCCAGGCTGGGAAACAGAATGAGACCCTATTTATTTAAAAAAAAAGGGGGGGGTGGGGTGGGGAGAGAACACAGGTGCACAAGTATCTATTGGAGTAACTGCTTTCCATTCTTTTGAAGATAGATATAGGTAGATAAAGATACAGATATAGAGATTTATAGATGTGAGTGGGATTACTGAATCATATGGTATTGATGACTGTAGGCAGCTCAGGGCGCATCCTCGGCCCCGGTGCTGTCTTTCCCAGAGCTCTGTTTAATTCCATCAGGCACGGGCAGCATTTGGAGAAAGCTGTGTTGATTTTTGTGATCTTCAGCCAGCACAGAAGTGGCCAGTTCCCTAGCCTCCCAGCACGGTCCTTCTCCTGCCCTGCCCCTTCATGGCCTGCCTGGGCTCACTGGACCCAGACTTGCCTTTCACCCCTGTCAAATAAGGGGTGCCTTTGGTAGGGAAAGGCAGACGACACCAAATAAGACTGGTTGGAGAGGGGATGAGAAGCGTCAATTAGAAAGCTCTTCAAATTCAAACGGACTGTTCAAACCATCCTAGGACTAGACTCCAATCGGGAAAGACTCTGAAGGAAATGATCTCCTACTCCCATGAGATGGCTAACGTGATTTAGGTAAAAAGCTTTTAGTTTTATGGCTGGGGAGGTAGCAATAAAGAAAATGAACCTCCTGCCAGTAATTCTTTTTCAAGCTCTGCCAATTCCTGTGTCTGGGGAAGCTATAAAGAATGTCCAGCCTCATATCAAAAGAATTGCCACAGATCTCCAGCTCACCTGCATTCAAGCATTGAAACATCCCTAAGCCTGTTCCCAGGCCAGCCTGGAACTGAGAATCCAGGAGAGTCTTTTCTGTTCTGCTGCTGCAGCTACACTATCTACTTCTTAGCATAACCAGGGCCACCAGCAACACATGCTAGAGAAATACAGAGAGCAAAAATCAACAGCTGATGAAAAGCAGAATCTTTTCTTTTTGACAGCAATACCAACAGCATGAAGCACGTCCTTTTTGGAGCTTTCCAAACCAATTCAAAAGCGAGTTTTCTGGCGTGGATGAAGAAAGCTAGCCAAATTGCCCCTGAATGCATAGCCACTGGCCAAGATATTGATGACTGTAGGCAGCTCAGGGCGCATCCTCGGCCCCGGTGCTGTCTTTCTCAGAGCTCTGTTTAATTCCATCAGGCACGGGCAGCATTTGTAGAAAGCTGTGTTGATTTTTGTGATCTTCAGCCAGCACAGAAGTGGACAGTTCCCTAGCCTCCCAGCACCGTCCTTCTCCTGCCCTGCCCCTTCATGGCCTGCCTGGGCTCACTGGACCCAGACTTGCCTTTCACCCCTGTCAAAACCTCACAGTCCTGTGTGTCTGTTTCCCTTTGAACTACACAAACTAACCAATTTGGTGAACCTATTAAGTGAACTTTTTTATACTCATGGTCTAGAGTGCATTGAACGCTAAAGGGTTTGCTAGAGGTTGTCACAATTAATTCTGTCTTCTTCCAACTGGACCAAGGCTTCTTTGAGTTAATAAAACTCTGAGAAATCTGAGTGGATTTTTCATAGTATCTCTTTCTAGTCTTTTGGGGTTTTTTTGTTGTTTTTTACTTTTCATGGAGATTTTCCTTAATTTAACCCAAAAGATATACCCATATGACATTTGAACTAATATGAAAGAGGTAGTAGGACAAATAATTTGGAGACAGTCTTTCAGAGCCCCACAAAGTACTTGAAATTTATCAATAAACCCCTCCCGGTGCTTCCCACCATGTTCCACATTCCATCTCCATTTTAAGCCATGAAGCTTCAAGTGGCATCTCCTCCTGTGAAACCTACAGTTTGGAGGTAAATTATTGATGACTAATGACTTAGAATAACCAAAGAAAGGATCATCTAGTGGAGACACAGCATGGAAATGGTGGTCCAGGGTGAGACGGAACTTATTCCAATCCCAGTGCCACCTATGTGGTTCCAGCTGTGTGCTTCCCTTCCTCTAATCTTGTTTACTCATCTCTAATACGGGACTAATAACATATACATCAGACTATTGTGAGGGTTGAATGTAACGATATTCCAAATTGTTGCATGTGTCCAGTACTTAACATGGTTCCAAGAACAAAACATGTATCAATAAGTATGAATAGCCTTCCCAGTGCACATCTCCAAACAGTGGATTTCTGGCCGATGACAAGTAGTGGTTCCCAGCGGTCCTACAGGTTATGGTTTAACTTACCACTAGCCAATCAGTAAGTTTGCCTCAGACCACATCACAATTCTTTTGCAAGCCTGGAGCTTGGTGAAAAACAAGGGGGGAAATAATCAATGTCCCTAAGGCAGATGCTGAAAGATTAACCTCATAACATAATTCTCTCACCAGACTTGTTTCCTGAATGTCTATTTAAATTTTAACACTGCAAATAAAATAAAGTTGGTAATGAAGGTGATTAAGATGGTATTTGTCCAGGGAACGAATCTCCTCACAACATACCTAAGAAAGAGATATATGTACAGAAAACGAAGCACAGTAAAATATCACTTCATTACTATCGGAGATTTTCCCCAAACACAGAGAAAGCTCTACAGAGCTGAGCTTAAGCCAGAACTCTGTTATTTACTTGGTGTAATGCCAAAACAGGCCAGAGACCCCTTTCACCTACTTCTCTTTAATCCCAAACCCATGTCTCTCTTTGATCTAAGAAAGAGCCAAACGCCCAGGAGGCGCCAGGGTAGAGAAAAGCAGCCAGCCGGAGAGCGGCCTCCGGGCCAGGGGAGTGTGTCTGAGCTTTGTTTTATTTTTCTTATTTGTCTGTAGTTGTGTGATTGGTAGAAGAGAGTAGATATGAAGTCTACTGACACAGGATTGGTCTTCAAGCATGTCTTACCAAGCATTTGGGGGAACAGAGGGGTTCCACAAATAAGAGAGCAATGATCAGACTTCCTTCTAAAAGGAGCAGCCACAAGCTACCTTAACTCTCCAACTTGCCCATTAATCTTCACCTAGAGTTAGGAAGATTTCACCATTAGCTGTGGCCCATAAAAGATCCTTAAGCTTGACCAACCACAGAGGTCCATCTCCTTGAGGAGGAAGTGAAAGGGGTATGGACAGAAGCTGTGAGCTTTCTGTCCTCCGCAGGCCGCCAGCTATGTCTTCTACTTATTGTACAAGATAGTCTCTAAGTGATGTTTTCTGGCTGACAATGCCACATAACTGATCCTTATCTCACTATGGAAATGAAAGATTTCAAAGAATTTGTTGCCTGAAATATGGTGCCCTAATCATATATTAATAAAGCTGCTATCCAGAAAGAAGGCAGATTTCAAAAGAAAGGTTGTTAGCATTCTCAGGTACCTAAAAAGTATATATTGTAGAACAATGGTAAGTAGATCTTGGAATCCGGTAGACTTTAATTCAAACCCCAGCTATGCCACTTATTAACTTATGTGACATTGGGAAAGCCTCTCAAATTTAGATTTGCAAAATCAGAATAATGTAAGTAGCCAACAAATAGGGTTTAATGGAGGTAATAATGAAGGTTATTAAGATGATAAAATTAAACAGTGAATATAAAGTCCTTAGCATTTAATAAATTTATTGTATGATTTCAAAGCACATGCTTTTACCTACAGTGCTATAAAGCTGCTTGCAATAGTCAAAGTTAATAGACGCTCTCGTCAGAGCTAATAGAAGCCTTGTATATGTAATTATTTAAGAATTCTGTAAATATACACAATAGGGTAGGAATGAGAAAATCTTTAGAGGAAATATTCAAGTATGTTTGATTTCTAGCAAATCCAGATAGACAGTTTTGGCAACAAAAAAGTCATAATTTTAAGTCTTGTTATAGGAGCTATAATTTTATTCAAGGGACAACTGATTTGATTAGATTAGATGCTGTGCACTGCATGTTTCCTTCAACAAATGCACAAGTTGAAACTCTAACAATAGAATGGCATTAGAAGGAGGACCTTTGGGAAGTAATTTGGTTTTGATGAGGATGGAGTTCCCACAATGGGGTTAGCATCCTAATAAGAAGAGTAGGAGACTAGAGCCCTCTTCTCTCAGCCATGTGAAGATACAACAAGAACACCTGCAAACCAGTAAGAGGGCCTTCACCAGACACTGGCTCTGCTGGCCCAGATTTTAATCTTTGAATTCCCACAACTGTGAGAAACAAGTATATGCTGTTTAAGCCACTCAGTCTACAGTTGTTTGTGGCAGCAGCCTGAGCAGACAAAGACATAGGGTTCCTTTTATTTTCAGAATTCGGTTTAGCTGTAATCACCTACCATCCTGAGATGCTGTTTCCTCCCTTGAAATATAAGCTCTGGGACTATAGCTTCATGGACAAATTCTGAAGAATTTGTCTCTGTTCTTGTGGGATGCTAAACTAACCAATCAAGGAATGTTTGCTCAATGGAATGAAACATCTTAATGCAGCTCGCCAGCCAATGTCTGCAGAGCACACCTCATGGGTTCTGGCTGGCTTGAATTTCTGAGACTACTTCATCCTAATCATCAGACTGTGGACTCAGATTCAACCAGGAGGCCCAGATTCTAGCGTCAGTTTTGCCCTTGGGGTACAAATGCACGTCCTGCTTCACTGAACATGAAACCCTGAATATTTGGCCATTACTCTGGCAGTTGTCCTCTCTCCCTGTGCCAATTGCCAATCAACCCAACTCCCAGGCAGCCTTGGCAGTTATGTCTGCTTGGCCTGCTGTAGCAGCCAATGACTTAGTAAAAGTCAGAACAGAGATCTGCTACCTCCCAGTCCAGGATTTCCCCATAACTCGCCCATGTTTATATTAAACAACTAGGTTTGCTTTTAAAATTCTTTTTCATTTAGCCTCTTCTTAGAACTTATCGTTTTGAGAATCCTGACCTGCCAATATTCCATAACTTTCTGAAAGTGGCACAGCAAATACGATGTATGCACACTGCTAACTGCAGCTGATTTCTTTTTCCATCATCTATAAAGCACATTAGGTAATTTCTAAACCAGCAGCAAAATCTATTTATAAAGAATGCTGATTTGTTTTCTGCACTTTCCAACACAGAGCTTCAACTTATTTCCTTACCATAAAAAAACATTACTTTTTAAAACAATCATGGTTAGTATATTTTATAAATGCTTTAATTTTTGTAAAGTCCAACTTGCAAATCGGAGTGTAAATAGCTTTCTTAAAATTGAAGGAACTGTGTTAGACCCAGTATGCTGATTGATTATTTCACTCTGCTTCAAAGCAGACGATTTCACAGACATTGGGTATATAATGTAAGGAGTTTTTATAAAGCAATTGATATATTGATATCATTAAAAATATAATTATAATAAATAAAATTATAGGGAAAAGGAAATCTTCATTCTGACAATACCAAATTTTTTAACTAACTCATTGCTAAAAGATTATGTCTCTACATGAAAAATTTTACACATTCTTTCTATGAAATAAACCTGATAACACCTTGAAAACTTAATAGTTATGGAAAAGGAACTACTGTGACTTTTTTTAGAGAATGTCATGTTCTTGATGTTCTTGAGTGAGCTGTCTCATGTTATTAGAAAGGAAACAGCAGCACCTTGTGGACAAACAGTGAATGAATTTTTAGGACCCGGTGCAGTGGTTCAGGCCTGTAATCCCAGCACCTTGGGAGACTTGGGCGGAGGGTAACTTGAGCCCAAGAGTTCAAGACCAGCCTGGGCAACACAGTGACATGCCGATCTTTACCAAAAATTGAAAAATTTGCTGGGCTTGGTGGCTCATACCTCAGGTCCCAGCTACTTGGAAGGCTGAGGTGGGAGGATCGCTTAAGCCCAGGAGGTCAAGGCTGCAGTGACTGTGATCATACCACTGCATTCCAGCCTGGGTGACACAGCAAGACCCTATTTCAAAAAAAATTATATTTATGTGGCACTTTCTACAAGGAATATAGTATCATGTTTGTATTTAAATGACATCAGGACCAGCATGGTGGCTTACACATGTAATCTCAGCTCCCCAGACGGCGGAAGGCAGGAGGATTGCTTGAGGCCAGGAGTTGGAAGACCAGCCTGGGCAGCATAATGAAACCCTCATTTCTACAAAAATAATAATAGTAATCAAAAGCTAGGCGTGCTGGCACATACCTGCAGACCTAGCTACTGTGGAGGCTGAGTGGAAAGATAACATTGAGCCCAGGAGTTTGATTGTATTGTGTATTGTGAGCTACGGCCTAGCCACTCCACTCCAGACAACACGGCAAGACCCAGTCTCTAAACAAAATAAAGAGACATCAGAGCATTGTTTATAGAGATTTATAAATGATCCCAAAATGTCTTCAGAGAGATAAATGATCTAAATATAGCTATATCGACTCTTCTTAAATTCCAAATTTGGGTGGGAACAATAAATGAGATAGAAGACTTCTTGAAATGTATCAAGACTCAGAAAGACAAAACAAAAACTTTCATTAGGCAGTATCAAGAATGTTCATTAATGCTATTTCTAATTTATGATACGATCATCTAAAGAGGAAATCCCAGCAACAAGAGGCCAAAGGAAAGGGAAAATAAATGAAAACAAGGACCATACTTTCTCCACATCCAACCTCTTCTCTACCACCTCTCAGCAAGACCTCCCACACCCAATCACTGCTTTCTCTTGCGGACTTACCCTCTACTCTGTGAACACATGAGCCAGAGAACCCTGAGAAGTCCCTGAGTCCCTTCCAGGGGCTCTGCAAGGTCAAAAGTCTTTTCATAAAAATACACAGGTTTTGTTTACCTTTTCCACTTTCCTTGTCTCTCAAGTATAATTGGAGTTTCCCAGAGGCTACCTGACATGTGATGTCAAAAGAAATTAAACGTAGAAGTAGAAAGGAGAACAAGTTTTCTTCTATTAAACCAGACATTAAAGACATACCTAAAAATATAAAACAATGTCACTGTTCTCACAAACTTTACTGCTTAAAAATGATAATTTTAAATAAAAATGTGATTTATGTAAACATATAAATATATTTTTTTAATTTCTCACTTTTAATGTTTACTATGATAAATATAGATAGACATAATCCAAATAAATAAAAGCTCTTTGGGGTCCTCAATAACTTTTATAAATGTAAAGTGTTCCTGAAACCAAAAATTTGAGGACTGATGCGCTAAATCTCATACCCTTTGTTGTAGCTTCCACCCAGGTCATTTCTTAAATACTTGATCAATAATTTCCCCATGTCCCTCACCCTATCCTTGTTGCAAAATTCCATTTTCCTACTCCAGCCCTCCCTGTCATGAGAAAGTTCCCAGGTTTTAGACATGATTTACTAAATCTTTCTTCACAGCTTTATCATGATAACATGACATATACAAATTGTGTAAATTTAAGGTAACTTAATGTTTTGATATTTCTATACTTTTTGAAACGATCACCACAATCAAGCAAATTAGCATATTATCTCTATATATTTACCATTGTGTGTGTGTTGACAGTAATTAATTTATGATCTAGTCCTTTAGCAGAACACAAGAATATGATACAGTGTTGTTCCACGTTGTACATTATATCTCCAGAAATTATAACTTGAACATTGCACAATTTAATTAACATCACCCCATTTCCCCTCCCTGAGCCCCTGGCAACCTCTGTCCTATTCTCTGTTTTCATGAATTTGACTGTTGTAGATTCCACATGTAAGTGAGATCATGAAGTATTTGTCTCTGTGTCTTGCATTTTTGCTTGGCGCAATATCTTCCAGCTCCATCAATGTTTTCACAAATAGAAGTATTTCTTTCTTTTTTAAGGTTGTATAATATTTCATTTTATGTATACACGTCACATTTTCTTTACCCATTCATCTGTTCCTCTGCCAAAGGACCTTTTGGTTATTTTCCTATTTTGGTCATTGTGTGTCATGCCGCAATGAACAGAGGATGACAGACACCTCTCTAAGACTCTTATGTCAATTTCACTGGACATATATCCAGAAGTGAAATTGTTGGATTATGTGGTAGTTCTTTTTTTCATTTTTGAAACCGGGTCTCACTCTGCTATCCAGGGTAAAGTCCAGTGGCAAGATCATAGCTCACTGCAGCCTTGAACTCCTGGGCTCAAGCAATCCTCCTACCTCAGCCTCCTGAGTAGCTGGGGCTACAGGTGTACAACACCATATCTGGTTAATTTTAATTTTATTTCTGAGATGGGGTCTTGCTATGTTTCCCAGGCTGGTCTGGAGCTCCTGGCCTCCTGCCTTGGCTTCCCAAAATCCTGGGATTACAGGTGTGAGCCATCAAACCAGGCCAGTGCTATTTTCAATTTTTTTTGGAGGAACCTCAATACTGTTTTCTGTGTTTTACTAATTTGCATTCCCATCAATAGTGTATAATGGTTTCCTTTTCTCCACATTCTTACCAACACTTATCTTTTCTCTTTTTGATAATAGCCATTTTAACAGGTGTGACATGATATCTCATTGTGGTTTTGATTTGCATTACTCTGAAGTTTAGAGATGTTGAGCACATTTTCTTATACCTGTTAGCCATTAGAATTTCTTCTTTTGAGATGTATTTATATACGTTCTTTGCCTTAAAATAAAATTAGTTTATTTATGATTTTGGAATTGATGTGTATGTGTCCTTCTTATTTTTTGAACTCCTTATAAGAGATATGGTTTACAAACATTTTCCCCATTTCATAGGTGGCCTTATCATTTCATTAGTTGTTTCCTTTGCTGTGCAGAAGCATTTTAGTTCGATGTATTTCATTTATCTATTTTGCCTTTGTTGCCTGTGCTTTTGGCATCATATCTAAACAAATTATTGCCAAGACCAATGTCAAGAAGGTTTTCTCCTGTCTTCTTCCAGGAGTTTTGTTTCAGTGATTACATTTAAACGTTTAATCCATTTTGAGTTAATTTTTACATAAGTCATGAGCTAGGGATCCGATTTCATTCTTTTACATGTAGACATCCAGCTTTCCTAACACCATTTGGTCAAGAGCATATCCTCTGCCTATAGTGTCTCCTTGTCACCTTCCAGGGTGATCAACTGCTGCAAATGTGTGGGTTATGCCTAGGTTCTCTATTTTGTTTCACTGGTTCATGTGTTTGTTTTTATGCCAATACCACAGTGTTTTTCTTTCTACAGCTTTGTAATTTAATTTGAAGTCAGGAAGTGTGATACCTGTAGCTTTGTTCTTGCTCAAAATAGCTTCAGCCACTCAGGGATTTTTGTGATTCTATATGAATTTTGGTATTTTTTTTCTATTTCTGTGAGAGATACCATTGGGATTTTGATACGGATTACATTAAATGTGTAGATTGCTTTGAGTAATATGGACACTTTAATAATACAGTACTAACTCTTTCAATCCATGGGTTGTCTTTCAATTTACTTTGGTTTAAATTTCTGTCATCAATCTTTTATAATTTGTAGTGTTTAAGTCTTTCATTTCTTTGGTTAGTTAGTTCCAAAGTAGTTTATTTGATACTGTTTTTTAAATTTCCCTTTCAGACAATTCATTGTTAGTGTCTAGAAATAGCAGTGATTTTTGTATGCCAATTGTGTATCCTACAACTTTAGTAAATTTATTATATAGTCAGTCCTTTATATCAATGGGTTCTGCAACCATGAACTCAATCAACCATGAACCTAACTTGTACATATTTTCCATCTGTGGTGGTTTGAATCCAAAGATGTTGACCCATGGATACATAGGGCCAACTGTACACGATTTTATGTGAAGGAATTGATCATCACAGATATTGTTATCTGAGGGGTTCCTGAAACAAATCCCCAGCAGATATGAAAGACTGACTGTATTATTTCTAACCATTTTCTGTGGAGTCTTTAGAGTTTTCAATGTATAATAATCATGTCTTCTGTTAACAGAGGTAACTACATCTTTCCTTTCAATTTTGATGCCTTTTATTTCTCTTGCCTGATTGCTCTGGCTAGGACTTCCAGTACTATGTTGAATAGGAGTGATGAGAATAGACATCCTTGTCTTGTTCCAGATATTAAATAAAAAGCTCTCAGTTTTTCCCCATTGATTATAATATTAGATATAGGTTTTTCATATACAGCCTTTATAGTGTTGAAGTAAGTTTCTTGTATACTTATTTTGCTGAGTTTTATCATGAAAGTATATTGAATTTTGTCAAATGTGTTTTCTGCATCTATTGGAATGTTATTTTGGCTTTCGTTCTGTTAATGGGGTATACCACATTATTAATTTTTACACATTGAAACATCCTTGTATCCCATAGATAAATTCCAATTGGTCATGGTGTATGACCTTTTCAATATGCTTTTGAATTCAGTTTGCTAGTTTGTATTTTTTGAGAATATTTGCATCTATATTCATTAAGGATACTGGTCTGTAATTATTTTTCCTTGTGTTGTCTTCGTCTAGCTTTTAAGTCATGGTAACATCGGCCTCATGAAATGAGTTTGAGAGTATTCTCTCTTCTATTTTTTCTGAAAAGTTTTAGAAATTTTGGTGTTAGTTCTTCTTTGAATATTTGGTAGAAGTTGCCCATGAAAGCATCTGCACCTGGGCTTTTCTTTGTTGGGAAATTTTTGATTACTGGTTAAATCTCTTTGCTTGCTTTTGGTCTGCTCTATTTCTTTTTTGTTCCACCTTGGTAGATTGCATCTTTCTAAGAATTTATCCATTTCTTCTAGGTTATCCAATTTATTGGCATATAATTGCTTAATTATCCTTTATAATCATTTGTATTCCTGTACGTTTGTTATAATGTCTCCATTTTCATTTCTGATTATATTTACTTGAGTTTCTCTTTTTTTCTTTGTGTAGCTAAGGGTTTGTTATTTTTGTTTGTATTTCCAAAAATTCAACTCTAGCTTTGTTGATTTTTCCATTGTTTTTTATTTTATAGTTATTTTATTTATATTCTAATCTTTATTATTTACTTCATTATGCTAACTTTGGGTTTAGTTAGTTTTTCTTTTCCTAATTGTTTATTTGTGAAGTTAGGTTGTTCGAGTGAGATCTTTCTTATTTTTTAATGTAGGTATTTATCATTGTAACATTTCCCCCTCAGCACTTCTTTTGCTGCATCCTGTAGTTTTGTTGAGTTGTATGTTCATTTTTGTTTGTCTCAAGATATTTTTAAAATTCCCTTTTGATTTCTTCTTTTACCCAATGGTGGTTCAAGAGTGTGTTGTTTAGTTTCTGCATTTTTGTAAATGTTTCTGTTTTCTTTGTTATTGACTTCTAATTTTATTCCATTGTGGTCTGAGAAGATACTTGGCATTATATTAAACTTCTTAAACTTGTAGGATGCCTTGTGACCTAAGACTTGATCTATCTCAGAGAATATTCTGTGTGCACTTGAGAAGAATGTATATTCTGCTGCTGTTGGATGGAAAGTTCTGTATATGTCAGTGTTTAATCTACTGTGTTGTTCAAGTCAGCTGTTTCCTCTTTTTTTATTCCTGCCTAGATATTCTATCCATTATTGAATTTGGGGTACTGAAGTTGGCTACTATTATTTTAGTGTTACTGATTTCTCCCCTTTGCTTTGCTGATATTAACTTCATATATTTAGGCGTTCTAATGTTGAGTGGATATATATTTACAATCTTCCCATTGAAGTGAACGTTTATCATTGTATAATGACCTTCTTAGTCTCTAATGACAGTTTTTTATTTCAAGTCTATTTTTTCTGATCTAAGTATAGATACCCTTGCTCTTTTTTGGTTACCATTTGCATAGAGTATCTTTTCCCATCCATTCACTTTGAGCCTCTATGTATCTTTATATCTAAAGTGACTCCCTTATAAATATGTACTGATGAGTATCTTTTATGCATTGTGCCACTCTATGTCTTTTAATTAGATAGTTTAATCCTTTCACATTTAAAGTCATTGTTGATAAGTAAGGAGTAACTTGCATTTTGTTAATTGTTTTTCATATGTTTTGCAGTTCTTTTTTTTCCTCTCTTGCTGTCTTCTTAGTTTGGTTATTTCTTGTAGAGGTTTGGTTTCATTTATTTTTCTTCACATTTTGTGCATCTCCTATAAGTTTTTAATTTGTGGTTGCAAATTTACGTCTTCTATAGAAAGCTATATTAATGTTATCAGCTTTTTTGGAATCATTTTCTTTCTCTTCCCTCTTCAGACATATATGCAAATACTCTGTTGTTCAAGACATGAGTAAATAGAGCTCTGGTTAGAAATTTATCAATATGAAAAAAAAAGATCCTCTGAGTATTTTGATAAGTTAGAAAATAATGATAGACTGCGGTAGAATGTCATGTATTTCAACTTCTGTCATCTATGTTACTCTACAATATATTTTCTTTGTGTATTAGTCAATGTTATATATTTACAAGGTAAATCCATAAAGCATACATTCTAGAATGTCCTAACTTATGTTCTTAAGAGATATGCTCCTTATGGCCTTCTTGGCACTCCTGAAGTGTTAAATATTTCCATTGAAGAAGGTTGTATATGGCTTCTGAGATGAAGTCTAGACAGGTTAGGATTATTTTTTGCTCCTTTTGCTCACACAGCACCCACTGTCCCCTCCCTTTGTTATTAGCCATTATCTGATACCCTAGATGAAGCCACCTTCTGTCCTTCAGTTTTCACGTGGGGGCTGATTTCACCCCCAGTTTCAGGAATAAGCACAGGACAGCTACTAACAAGTATGTTGTTCACTCAAGGAAGAAACCCAGCTAAGGGAGAAAGGGGGGTTGAAATCCAGCCTGCATGCTCTTCTCCAAGCCACATGCACCGATACAAGGCTGCATCTAACTGGAGAAAGGGGAGCCATTTTCTAATACTTGCAAAGCACTGTGTGGACAGTGGAAACCCTGTATGAGCTCGTGACACAGGCCTGGCCAATGAATAGACTTCTAATCCTGGCACAGATGAAACTAGAGATGGACATGAAATCCAAGCCTCACACCCAAAGTCAATCTCTAGTCTCTTATTGAAACTATTAGAAGTGTTTCTGTTTTTGCTTTATTCTGGGGCTATGGAACTAAGGAAATGTAAACTGGAGGAGTGATGATGGCCACATTGCAGCACAAAGGGAAAACTTGTCTGAGAGTAAAATCAATGGGGAAGAAAAAAGCAAGGAAGAGGAGAAGAGCCAAGCCCTGAGTTCCTACTTTCAGCCATTCTGAAGCTATACCCTGGATTTTTCCATTATACGAGTCCACAAATTAATATTTTTTTTGGCTTAGAACAGTTTGAGTTTGAATTCTATTATTTATAACCAAAGGATTCCTACCATATTATCTTAGCCGGATTTTCATAAACAGGGTATATGTTGATCAACAAAATTCCTAAATGTTTCACGTTCACTCCAAAGAGTGAGGGGGAAAAATAAAGAAGAGGAAGAAAATGATTACTTATCATCCACAGTAGTCAAGGAAGCTGCAGAAGCATCAAGCAAAAGCAGCAGAAGTTAGCTTTGTACTCCCACAAACCCTGCTCTGAAATACTCCGCCTAGTGGCTCACAGCAGAAACTGCATTTCTAAAATCTTTAAAAAGCCAGAAAAGGAATCACCACTTACCCTGGGAACCCTAACAGAGGAGCAGGCCACATAGGAATATGTCCCATTGGTTTGAGGTCGATAAGTCCATTTTCAAAGCTTTAGTAATTCCAGAAACAAGAACATATTTATTTTACTTTGATCACACAATGCCTAGTTATATTAAAAGTAAGGAGACATTCAATAAATACCTTTTATGGAAATAAAAACAGACAATTTAGGAGAAAATTAACTATCAACGCATTATTTTCAAAGGTAAAGAAAAAAGAAATTATTCTGAACACACAAAACGATTTTATCAAATATCATGGTAAATTATCATTATATACTAGGTCACTTAATAAATTTCCAGAGATAATTGGAAAGAGTTTCCACAATAGATTTTGTTTCACCCCAGGAAGAATTTTCACAAAAAGTTAGTTACTTATCTCCATTGTTACTAGTACCAAACTAATCCTATGATTCTGAGTCAAATTACAAATAACGTCCACACTTTTCTCCAGTGAGATCAGAGGAGATGCCTAAGTGGAGTGTGTTTTAATGTGAGGGCATAATTGGTTTATACTTTTCACTGAAAATAACAAATTCTAGACAACTTAAGCAAAACAGGAATTCAATGAAAGGATATTGAATAGTTCACAAAATTATTGAAGATCCTGGAGAAGCAAGGTAAGAACTGAGGGAAACTCAGCATAGCCAAGTTCATTCGACGGAAGCAGATCTTGGGATGTCACCACTAGGATGCTGTCATTTGACACTTGTCACCATGTAGCTGGGCTCTGCTGAACCTAGGCACTTGCTGCCACATTCCTGGAACTGCATCTCTGCTCAATTTCTCAGAATCATCTCTGATTCTTTCAGGTCTTTTGCATCATTTCACCGGGTTCCAAGTTCTAATAAAGAGCCATCAGTTGGCTGGGCCTAGATATGTGCCCACACGTGAGTGGCCAAGAAACTGGAAAAAGGATCATGCACTCCCTTTCAGCTTTTGTAATGGAAGGTGGGGCCTGTCCTCATATTTCGCTTGGGGTTCAAAAAACTAGGAAGGGGGTTTTGTTGAAATGAAACCCAAAACTATAGCTATCCATTTATAGCACCTTATTTGTACAGGAAGAAACCATGAGACATAACGTATAAAAGTGCATGGGAGGTCTAAACATATGAGGGGTTTTTTAAGGAGAGAAAGATCATACTTGATTGGTGCTGTGGTTTCACTGTGGCTCCTCCGAGATTCAGCGTTGACAATGTGATAGTGTTGAGGTGGAGCCTATAGGAAGTGATGAGGCCATCAGGACTCCTACCTCAGGAATGGGTTTAGGAGCCCTCATGAAAGAGCTCCATGGAGGGATTTCATCCCTCTTGCTCTCCCGCCTTCCACCATGTGAGGAAACAGTGTTCCTTGTCTCTGGAAGATGCAGCATCAAGACACCATCTTGAACGGAGAGAACAGCCCTTACCAGACATCAGACCTGCCAATGCCTTGATCTTGGACTTCCTATTCTCCAGAACTGTGACAGATAAACGTCTGGTTTTCATAAATTGCCTAGTCTGTGTTATTTTGTTATAAGAGCATAAATTGACTAATAATTGGAGATTAGAAAAAGTTTTTTGAAGTGGCATTTGAGAAGGGCTTGATAGATAAGATCTCTACAAATAGAAATAGAGAGATGGCTTCAAATCACCCAGGTGAAAGGAATAACATAGCCATTTTCAGTATGAATGCAAAATGGAGATGGTAAAATGTACATAGGATTCCACCACCAGTGGGAGGACAGAATTGTAATGTGGCAGCAATCTGTAAATATAATATTTATCACTCATTCACATTTATTTAGAGTCTAATGTGCTCTAGGCTCTGAAATTAAGCAAAGAAAATCTAGATATGCATAAGTCCAAGACTTTGCCTTTATGACAATCAAAATAATGACCCCATAAAGATGTTCCAGTCCCTGGAATCTGTGACCATATTACTTTACATGGGGCAAAAGGGACTTTGGAGATGTGATTAACCCTTGAGTTAGGGGGATTATCCTTGATTATCTTGGGGGCCAATCTAATTGCATGTGTCTATAAAATCAGAGAATCTTTCCTAGCTACAGTCAGAAGGTGATATGACTGCAGAACAATGGTCACAGACATCCCACATTACTGGCTTTGAAGATGGAGGGATTGTCCCATGATCCAAGGAATAGGGACAGCATCTAAATGTTGGAAAAGGAAATGGATTCTCTCTAGAGCCTCCAGAAAGCAATACAGCCCTGACAACACCTTGACTTAACCCCAGTAAGACCACTGTCAGAGGTTTGCCCTACAGAAGTATAGGGTCGTAAGTCTTTGATTTAAGCCACAAAATTGTGGTAATTTGTTATGGCAGCAATAGAAAATTAATTTTAAGAACTTTATTATTTGGAAGATAGGCAGACCAGAAAATCCAAATTATAATATAATTCGATTAAAAGCTATGGAGATTTGTGTTAGGTGTTTTAGAAAAGAATTGAGTATTAACAAGACTAACAGAAGAAATGTTCTAAAATTTACACACTAAGTACATCACATTTTTCTAATGATCACGTTGATAGAGCATCTTAGAATCCATGGTTTTAACAAACCAACAGGCTTATATACATAAATATAAAAATATTATGTATATATATAATATATGGAATAGCCCCATGGGCACGGGCAGCCCTGGGTCAAAGGGCAGCACTGTACTAGCAGCCCACACCCCACCTCACCCGCCTACCCTGAGCTGACTTGTCTGCTAAATGCTAAATACACCTGTCAACCGGTCTGGTTTAACTAAGAAGGGCCTAGATGCAACAAGTCTGGGGGCTGTGACTGGGGGAAGAGAGAGCACAGACGGAGCTCCTCCTCCTTCTGCCACTGCCTACCAACTGAAAACCACCACCTGAAGCTTGCTTAGATTCTCAGCCTACACCTTGTTCCCAACAAAACTCATTCAATACTTGGGCTCCCACTACAATCTCTGGAACTAAATATTCTACGGATCTGCTTTTTGAGCTGCAACTTATCTTACTAAATTCCAAGAAGCTTATGTAAGAGAAAACCACCAGATAATACAAGATTTTCAATGTGATCATCATTGCTACTTTTAACTAGAAATTATCCAGTAAATGTATTGTGAACTGCTTTGTGACTATGCTGATTTATTTAGTCTTTCTGATCCTTGGTTTGATTATCTCAAATATATGAGTATCACCAATTTTATAAAGTTGCTGTAAAAATTAAATGAAAGAAAAATAATCCTCCGTCTCCATATATTGAATACTAACAAAATTATAGGCATTGCGTCCAGGTTTTTACATACTTACCTGATAGAAGTCTCCTGACAACCCTGTATTTTAAATTACAAGCATTTGCCATGATTTTTACACATGTACGTTATGGAAGCCTCGTAACAATCCCATCTTTTATAGATCAGCAAACTGAGCCTCAGACGAGTTAAAAACACGTTCACCATCAAATCATAATGAGTGATGGAACTGGGATTCAAATCCGGTTCTCTCTGATGCCAAAAATTGTGCAATTTAACGAGGACCAAGTTACACCTAGAACACGGGGGGATCAAAACATGTGGATTCCCTTTTCTGCCACCTCATGTGGGAATTTCAATAGCTTTCACTGCCTCAGAGCAATACTAAACTCCCTCCCAGGTTGCCTTGCAATGGCCCCCTTATTCGTGGGGATGATTAGGAATCTGCATTTTTGGACCACAAGCATCTATAAAGAGTGGTGTTGATCAAGAAATAAAATTTACTAGGCCATAGGTTGCTGTGAATTGTCTAGCTTCTCTGCCAAAAAATAAAGGGGCTATTCCATGTAAAAAAAATCACAGGATCCACTGAATCTGTGCAGAAAGACATAGAAATATACTGCAGGAGCATCTTACAGACAGCTGCGCCTGAAGACCAGCCAAAACACACAAAGCAAGAGCACCTCCAATGACCAAGTGTGGTGGCTCTTCCTGTCATCCCAGCAGTGTGGGAGGCCAAGGTGGGTGAATCACTTGAGGCCAGGGGTTTGAGACAAGCTTGGGCAACACAATGAGACCTTGTCCGTACAAAAAAAAATCATTTTTTATTATTAGAATCAAGAAGAGTACCTCTAACCCCTTTCTGTTGCTTTAGGGCAGAGAGCTCTGGTCTAGAACTCAAGTTATGAAACTGTGAGTCCCGGTGTAGCTACTTAAGTTTAAACACAAGAGCTGTCAGACATTTCCTCTACAGCAACGAAATCTGTAGCATCCATTTTGTACTTTGAAAACTTAGTTTTTGGCCAGCCTCTAGGAAGAAGAAGAGGGTCCAGAACTGGGCATATGGGTAGGGAGGGGAAAAGAAACTGACTGGATGCAACAGGGAAAGACGAAGGGATGGAGACCTCAGGCAGAGCCAGTCCTCAGGCTTGGGGCCTGGGCCTAGGAAAGGAACTAGGTGAAGAAGGGAGGAGCCCCAGGCTGTGGATGTCTCTGGGGGAACCTTGGTTCAGCAACGGCCAGAGAAGCTCCTGAGGCCAAGCGGTATCTGTCGCCTCCCTACCTTTGGGCGTCTTCTGGTCGCCAATGTGCTGCAGGGCTGGCTTTGGTGCACATGCGACTGGTCACCGTGGTCCCCATGGGGCACCTCTGCTCTTCTCGAGGCAGCTTGGGCCTTCGCTTGCCCCCACGTCTGCAGAGCTGAGCAACTGCCCCCTATCCCCAGGAAAGGCAACCAAATGCCACCAACTTAAGGCACCCACTGAAGGCCACCAACTGAAGGCCGGTTGCCCTGACAACCTGATGTGTCCTGCTTAGGAAGAACCAATCAGGTCTTGAGTTCCTTCCACACGCTGCCCTTCCATTTGTGACGTGGGAGTCCAGGCACTGGCTCACAAAGCCACGACCCCCAGCGACACTGCCCCACTTTTCATTTATTGGTAAGTGGTAGCAACTTTCAGGTTTCCTCACTGTGAATTATGAATATGAATTATGTTGAAATTACTGTATCCTAATGTACCTCATGCATTGTCTGACAGCCAAAGTCCCCTCTTCCCCCATGACCTCTGAGTTTTTTGGAAACTAGAAAGAAGATACATTTCTGCAGGTGCTTTCAGAAAAAAACGTTGCCACGATCTAAGTTTACTCTGTGATGTCAAGTCATATTTCATATGTCATACGTATTCATATTTACATTCATAATTCAAAATGCACATATTCAATCAAATTAAGAGAATCGAAAAGGAAATTTTCTAAAATTTATACACTAAGTACATTATATTTTTCTAATGATCACTTTGATAGAGCAAACTTAGAATCTATGGTTTCAACAAATGAAGAGGCTTATGCAAGAGAAAACCACCACCTAACAAAAGATTTTCAATGTGATCATCATTGCTACTTTTCACTAGCAATTATCCAGTCAATATATTGTGAACTGCTTTGTTACTATGGTGATTTATTTAAACTTACTGATCCTTTGATTATCTCAAAAATATGAATAATACCAATTTTATAAACTTGTTCTAAAAATTAAATGAGAGAAAAATAATCCTCCTTCTCTATATATTGAAAACCTACAAAATTAGTAACATTGTGTCCAGATTTTTACACACTTACCTTATTGAAGCCTCATCACATCCCCGTCTTTTAAATTACAGGATTATTCCCAGATTTTTAAACACTTACCTTATGCAAGTCTCATAACAATCCCATCATTTGTAGATGAGCAAACTAAGGTTCAGATGAGTTAAAAACACATTCACCATCAAATCATAATGAGTGAAGGAACTGGGATTCAAATCCAGTTCTCTCTAACACCAAAGGTGGTGCAATGTAGTGAAGACCAAGTTATACCCAGCACATGGAGGGATCAAAACATGTGGATTCCCTTTCTATACCCTTTTACATGTGAATCTCAATGGCTTTCACTACCTCAGAACAATCCTAAACTCCCTCCGAGGTTGCCTTGCAGAGGATCCCTTCTTTTTGGGGACGATTAGGAATCTGCATTTTTGGACCACAGGCATCTATAAAGAGTTGTGTTGATCAAGAAATAAAATTGTCTAGGCCATAAGTTACTGTGAATTGTCTAGCTGGGCTATTCTCTTTATTTTTTGTTATTCCACTATTGACAATAGCCTAGAATCAACCTAAGTGTCCAAGAAGACTTGTTTTAACCCTGAGGATTACTAATGTTTTCACTGTGGTCATTGTGGTAGATTATATTACCATTCTCCCATTATCTGGTCTTCCTGCTGTAGTGGCCCTATCTCCTAGAAGATTATACACTTCTGTCCTATTGAAGGAAAGGTCAGATTTAGACATGTGACCTGTTTGGCCAGTGAAATGCAGGTAGAAGTGGCATGTGCAATTTGTAAGCAGAAAATTTCCTTTTTCAAGGATCTGGGAGCCATCTCTTTCAAACATAATCCTCCAGAAAGATAATACCTTATTTCCCAGTCTCCATGAGAGAGTAAGAGCCTAATCTTGCTCCAAGTTGTAAAAATTACCTTATATCATAAAGATAAAAGAAAGTTTATTTTTCCTTTGAGAAAAGACAGTTAGCAAAGACAGGTGGCCTATGATCGCCCCCTTACCCTCACTTTCAAAAACTCCACGGCCCTTTGTATTAGGGGAGCTGAGTTCAGACTAGGTCTGGACTCTCTCCAGTATTGCAATAGCTTTAATAATATCTTCCTTACTTATTTAACTTTTTCCAGTGCAATTTTTTCTTTGACTCTTTCCTCCTGCTCTAAAACTTACATTGAAATTTTAGTAGGATTCAGGGCAACCAATCTCGAAGCTTGAATATATGAAAGAACCCTTTAAGATTAAAAAACCCATATTATCTCCCATAAGTTATTTCTTCGGACTATTGCCTTATTAAAATTTTCTAGTTCTTATTTTTGCATTGAAAAGGAGAATGATGATTTTTAAATAAGTTCCTACTCACTTTTAATTTCTACTATGACAGTTTTATTGCTTTTCATGGCAATAGATTCCTCTGGTTCAACAAGAAGGGCAGAACAAGGAAGTACAGAAACATCTCAATATATCTCAAAAAGTTATTTAACATGGACAGTGTCATTTAGAATCTTTAACATCCCTATCAAATGGATGCCATTATTATCCCCCTTTTACAGGATATTAAAACTTACATACTGTAAATAACCAGCTGAAAGTCATATAGCATGGAAAATACAATAAGCATACAAAGAAGCAATGGCATTTGAAGTGGAGGAGGGTGAAGGATTAAAAGGCTAAACTTAGTTTGGTTAAGAAAAAAGAAAACTAGAAGGTGGCAAACTCTTGTTGGAAAGGGGAAGGATTTGGACAGAGCAAGGTAGTGGAGTAGATCTCTCCAGTAATCATACCCCTATGGACACATCTATATGAACAACTATCCACATATGAAATTATCTTTACAAGAGCTAATGAACCCTGAATACATGAGTGAGTCAATGAAGCCCCTTTGGACTGCAAAGAGGAGTAAAACTATGCTTGGACAGTAAGGGAAACAGTACTCATGACTGTGATACTCCTCCCCCAGGCCATAATGGTATTATATGCAGAAAGTCCTCCTGAACTCACAGTTCTTACACTGAATAAAGTGAGCAGAAGTTGAATATTTTTTCCACCATACTGAGTGCCTTCACAGTAGACTCACTCCTGCATCAGCCCACAAGCAGCACCATGAGTGTCAACAGAGCTGAACCACCAGAGGCATGCTAGGGACATAGAGAAGGGATTGGGTTAGCAATACTTACTATATGAAACTTAGCAGTGGCTAGCCATTCCTACCAGAGGAAATATTATACAAGACAG
Organism: Homo sapiens; assembly: GCF_000001405.40. Classification (NCBI taxonomy): domain Eukaryota; kingdom Metazoa; phylum Chordata; class Mammalia; order Primates; family Hominidae; genus Homo; species Homo sapiens. The sequence goes on from NC_000020.11 coordinate 29,065,940, forward strand.
GTTGTTTATGGGCACCACGCTGTGGGAAACATGATACACAGACTGTCCAGATTTGATGGCCTGACTTGTTCTCCCCCCACAGACAGCAGCCTTTCTGTGGATCACCCATGGGCCCATCCAGTTACATTGCATCAGTGGTGAAGCCCCATTGCAAGACTTGTGTCTAACCTTTGCTTTGGGCACCTCCTAATTTAAAATGGAATATAATGGAAATCCAGACAGAATTTCTAAACAAGCCCACTGAGAAACAGTCAAAAACAAACCCAGACTGAGAAGATTGAAACAAATATTTAATTCATGTATGTGTAGACAGAGATGCACATCTAAAAAAATAAGAATAGCCTAGGAAAAACGGCCTCACCAAATGGAGAAACAAGGTGTCAGCAACTGAACCTAAAGACATGCAAATGAATGATGTGGCTAACAAAAAAATTCAAATAGCTGTTTTTTAAAAAAAAAAAATCTGTGAACTTCAACAAAGTACAGAGAAACAATATGGAAATTTATGAGAAATTCAACAAAGAATTTAAAATAATGGGAAAAAAAATCAAACGGAAATCCTGGAGGTAGAAAGTTCAGTAAACAAACTGAAAAATGCACTAGAGGGCATCAAGAGCAGAACTGATCAAGTAGAAGAAAAAAAACAGTGAGCTCAAAGACATCCTCTTTGAAAACACACTGTCAGAGTAGAAAAGAGAAAAAAATGAAAAGAAACAAAGAAAACTTATGAGATCCATGGGACACCATCAAAAAAACAAATCTACAGTGTTACAGTGGAACTAAGAATGAAAAAGAGTTAGAAGCTTATTCAGAGAAACAACAGACAACTTTTTAAACTTGGAGAAGGATTAAGATGTTTAGGATGGTCAAAGCTCACTAATCTGATTTAATCTGAATAAGACAACCACAAGACGCATTATAATTAAACTTTCAAATGTCAAAAAGAAAGAGTAGGTCCTGAAAGCATTAAGAAAAAGGAAGCATATAACACATAAGAGAATTCCAATGTTCCTGGCAGCAGACTTCTCAGCAGAAACAATATGGACCAGGAGAGAGTAGGATAATAGAATCATGTGCTGAAGAAAAAAACTGTCAACCATGAATACAGTATCCAGCACAGCTCCATTTAGAAATGAAGGAGCAGTTAAAACATTCTAAGACAAACAAAAGATGAAGGAATTCATTGTAACCATACCTGCCTTAAAAGAAATGTTAAAGAACAGTCTTCAAACTGAAAGAAAATGTCACTAATATGTAATACAAAAAATTGGAAGGTATAAATCCACAGGTAAAAATAAATATTCAGACAAACTCAGCATGCTCTAATATAGTAATAATTGAATGCAATCCACTTACATGTTTTTAGTAAGAAGGTTAAAATACAAAAAAAAAATAACAACTACAATAAGTTGTTAAGGGATAAGTGATATAAAAGATGTAAATTAAGACTTAGAAAATGCAAAATGTGGAGGAGTGATTGAGTTAAAGAGCTGAGTGTTTGCTTTTCCCCATTTCTTATTATCAAAATTAAGTTGTTATCCATTCAAAATTACCTATTGAAACTATAAAATATTCTTCAAGTGCCTCATAGCAACCAAAAGGCAAACATTTTTATTACATACACTAAAAAAAAAAGAACAAGAAACAAAAACACACAGAGAAAATCACTTAACTACAAAGGAAGACAACAAAGGGACAAAAAGGTACAAAACTTCTAAAAGACAACAAGAAAACAGTATATGGCAGTACAAGTCCTTATCTATCAATAATTACCTTGAATGGAAATAGATTAAACTATCCAGTAAGAAGACAGAAAATGGGTAAATGGATTAAAAACAAGACCTAACTATATTCTTTCTACAAGAGACTCCCATCACCTGTAAATACACACATAAATTGAAAGTGATCAGATGAAAAAATATATTTTATGATAATGGAAACCAAAGAATGCAGAAGTAGTTATATTTATATCAAATAAAATAGACTTCAAGTAAAAAAACTGTAAACACAGACAAACAAGGCCATTATGTAATAATAAAGGGCTCAGTACAGCAAGAGAATACAATAATTGTAAATATATAATGCACTCAACATTGGAGAACCTAAATATATAAAGCAAACATTAATAGATCTAAAAGGAGAGACAAAAAACTGTACATTAGTAAGAAACCTCGACATCCGATTTTCAGCAATGAACAGATCATTGAGAGAGAATCTCAACAAAGAAACATTTAAACTTCACTGTAGATCAAAAGAATTGAACAGTTATTTACATAACATTTCATCCAACAATTGCATAATTCACTGTCTTTTCACCTGCACATGGAATATTGTCCATGATAGATATGTTAGACCACAAAACAAGTCTTAGCTAATCAAAAAATCAAATCATATCACGTGTTTTTTAACCATATGGAATAAAGCTAGAAATAAACAACAGGAGGAACTTCAGAAATTGTGCAAATACATACAAATTAAACAACATATCCTTAAACAACCAATGGGTCAATGAAAAATATTTAATTTAAAAAATGTCTGAAGACAAATAAAAATGAAATCAGAACATATGAAAACTTATGAAATACAGTAAAACAGTCCTTAGAGGGAAGTTTATAGCAATACATTTCTACATCAATAAAGAAGAAAGATAATGAATAAACCATCTAACAATGTATTTCAAGGAACTATAAAATCAAGAACAAACTAAGACCCAAATTAGCAAAAGAATATAAAGATCAGAGCACAAATATACGAAATGAAGACAAAAAATACAAACGACTAATTAAATGGAGGAATCTTTTTTGAAAACGTAAAATTGACAAATGTTTTGTCAGACTAAGAAAAAAAGAGAAAATTCACATATAATCAGATATGAAAAAGGATATACTATGATAGACTCTAGAGAAATATAAGGAATCATGAGTAAGTACTACAAACAATTATACACTAATAAATTGAAAAACTTAGAAGAAATACATAAGCTCTGGACACATATAACCTATCAAAATTGAAGAAAGAAGAAATAGAAAATGTGAACACACCAATGACAAATAATGAGATTGAAGAAGCAATTTAGACTCTCAGTCAAGGAAAATCCAAAAGACTTCACACAGTAGCTCACACCTGTAATCTCACAGTTTAGGAGCCCAAGGCAGGAGAATCACTAGAGGCCAGGAGTTCAAGATTAGCCTGGGCAACACAACGAGACTCCATCTCTAAAAATAAAAATAAAAATTATCCAGGTATAGTGGTGTGTATTTGTACTCAGGAGGCTGAGGCAGGAGGATCACTTAAGACCAGGAGTTTGAGGCTGCAGTCAGCTATGACTGCACCACTGTATGCCAGCCTCAGTGATAGAGTGAGATCCTGTCTCTAATAAAATAGAGGAAGAAAGAAAAGCTCACGACTTGGTGTTTTTCGCTGACAAATTCTACAAAATATTTTTAAAAATTATACAAATTATTTACAAACTAATTCAAAAAAATGAAAAGGAGGGAACTCTTCCAAAGTCATTCTATGAAGACAGCATTTCCTGATTCCAAAATGAGACAAGAACAGCAAATAAAAGAAAACTCCAGGCCAATATCATTGATAAACATAGATGCAAACATTCAAAACCAGCAGTTCTAGCAATGATATTTCAAAAGCACATTAAAAAGATTATCCACCATAATCAAATGGTATTTACCCGGGGAGGTAAGGATAGTCTAATACATGTAAATCAATAAAATCTGATACATCACATTAAACAATGAAGGATAAAATACATATCATCGTTTCAATAGATGCAGAAAAAGCATTTGACAAAATTAGACATCCTTTTATGATCAAACCTTTTAACAAATTAGTTATAAAAGAACATAATAAAATAAAGACCATATGTGATAACCCACAGACAACATTTTACTGAATGGTGAAAACTTGAAAGCTTTGCCTCTAGGATCTGGAACAAGACAAGGATGTTCACTTTAATCACTTTTTTCAACATAGTAATGGAAGTCCTAGTCAGAACAATTAGGTAAGAGAAAGAAATAAAAGGCATCCATATTGTAAAAAAAAAAGTCAAATTGTCCCTCTTTGCAGATGACATGATCATATATGTAAAAAAACCCTAAATACACCACTGAGAATCAGAAATAGTAAATGCATACAATAAGGTTTCAGGATACAAAACCAACATAGAAAATCAGTAACATTTCTATACACCAATAGCAGACTATCTGAAAAAGGAATCAAGAAAGTAATCCCATTTAAAATAGCTATTAAAAAAAACAAAATACCTACAAGTAAATTAAGCCATGGAAAGATGAAAATTATTAAACATGGATAAAAACAATTAAAAAATTAAAATAAATAGAAAGATATCCCATGTTCATGGACTAAAAGAATTGATATTGTTGAAATGACCATACTATGCAAATCAATCTATAAATCCAATATAATCTCTATCAAATTTCCAATTTCATTCTTCACAGATGTTAAAAAAATCTTAAAATTCATGTGAAACTACAAAACACCCCAAATAGCCATATAAATCTTAAGCAAAAAGAGCAATGCTAGAGGTATTACACTATCTAATTTCAAAATATATTACAAAGCTATCTTAACTAAAACAGCATGGTATTGGCATAAAAACAGGCATGTAGACCAGTGGAACAAAAATAGAGAGCCCAGGCATAAAACCACGTATTTACATGCAACTTATTTTTGACAAAGGTGCAAACATTCAATTGGGAAAAGAAAGTCTTTTCAACAAATGGTACTGGGAAAGTGCATATCCACATACAAAAGAATGAAAGTAGACCCCTATCTCTCATCATATACAAAAATCAACTCAAAATAAATTAAATATTTAAATGTAAGACCCCAAACTATGAAACTATTAGAAGCAAACTTAGGTGAAATGTTATATGTCATTGGTCTGGGCAAGGACTTTTTAGAAAAGACATCGAAAGACATGCACAACAAAAGCAAAAATAAACAAATGGGATTACACCAAATAAAAACTTCTGCACTGCATAGGAAACAATCACAAGAGTGAAGACACAACCTACAAAATAGGAGAAAATATCTGCAAACTATTCACTTCATAAGGGGTTAATATCCCAAATTTATAGAAAACTCAAACAGCTCAATAGCAAAAATACAAATAATTGGATTAGAAAATAGTCAAGACAGCTGAATAGACATTTCTCCAAACAAGACAAAAAAAATCACCAACAGGTAAATGAAAAAATGCTCATCATCACTAATAGTCAGAGAAATGGAAGTCAAATCCACAGTGAGATATCATCTCACCCTGCTTAGAATGGTTTTTATGAAAAAGTCAAAAAATAACAAATGCTGGCAAGGATGTGAAGAAAGGGGAATTTTCATACACTGTTGGTGGAAATGTAAATTAGAGCAATTGTTATGGAAAACAATATAACTTCCAAAAACATTAAAAATAGACTTATCACAAAATCCAACAATCCCACTACTGGGTATATATTCAAAGAATATTAAATCAGTATGTCAAAGAGATTTCTGGACTCTCATGTTAATTACAGCACTATTCACAATAGCCTAGAATCAACCTAAGTGTCCATCAATGAATGAATGGAGAAAGAAAATGTGGCATATATGCTGTATTTGGTCATTCTTGCATTACTATAAAGAAATACCTGAGATTGGATAATTTAAAAGAAAAGAGACATAATTGGCTCCTGGTTCCATGGGCTGTACAGGAAGCATAATGCCAACATCTGTTTGACTAGTCAGGAAGCTTGGGAACTCGTTCACTATCATGAGGATAGCACCAAGCCATGAGGGATCCACCTCCATGACCCAAACACCCCCTACCAGGCCCAATCTCTAACAGTGGGGATTGCAATATAACATGAGATATGGGTCAGGACAAATATCCAAACTATATCATATGCACATTTGGTCATAATAAAGGGTAAAATCGTGTCACTTGTGACAACATGAATGAGCATAGACGACATTGTGGTAAGTGAAATAAGCTAACCACGATAAGACAAATATCACATGATCTCATTCATATGTGAAATCTAAAAACACTGATCTAATAGAGAGTAGAAGAGTGGTTACCAGACTGGGAAAGATAGGGAGGAGAGGTTTTAACAATGTGTCATGTATCAAAATACCACATTGTACCCCATCAACATGTGAAATTATCATGTATCCACTTAATAAAAGAAAAGAAAAAAGAAAATGGAAGAGTCAAGATACTGGGGCACTGGAAGAAATAGAAGAGAAGGTGAGTTGGCAGTAAGGAAGAGAGAGTCTGAAAGAGCATGTCACAGAGTGGAACATTAAAGTTTATAACATTAGAAATCAATTTTTAAGTTATTGAAAAGTTAAGTTTATAGCCATGAAAGTGAGTAGCTCAATTGAAGTGAAAGTAAAAGTCAATGAAGATTAAATTAGAAAATATATTGCTTGGCATTTAGTAATTACTTCAGAAATATTAATAAATCTTAAGAAAATTAAGAACACCAAAGCATTCATAGTGGGCCATTATCATAACACGAATTTATGTGGTAATATTTTATTCTTTCCAGTGAAGGGAGTAATTCAACAGTCTTGATTGCAGGTTAGAAAATGATTTCTCCAGGTGTGACCCACTGACCACATTCATTGTATTTGAATTGCTTGAGCAATTTGTTTCAGGAGAAAATGGAAAGATTTTAAGATGGACCAACGAAATTACCACTGAGTGTCTTTAATGGAAATCTCATCCTTGTCTAGAATAACCTGGGTTATCTGTTTCTATGGGGTCTCTGTGTCTTTTGTTTTCTTTGTTATTTGCAATTCTGTTAGTTGTAGATTACTGATAGTAATGCAAATATTCTTGTCTATAGACAGGCAAATGATTGATTTTGGTGGAAGTATAATTAATTTTCCTTTTTCCACCTTCCATCAAGAAGTCAGTTTTGAACTTATCAAGCAAATTTATTTCAGTGTTCCTTAGTGCCTAGATATGTGTGGCTCTTAATTTTCCATAAAACTTAGTATAACATCTTACTGGCTCCCTCATTAAATAAATGAGTTAAAAATCTTAGACAAGTGTTCATTTTATATTTGTAAGTCATAATTTACCCTATTTTAAGCAATTTTCCTTCATCATTCCTAAAAATCCAGATTCCTATGTCCCATGCTAGACCTATTGAATCAAAATCTCAGGCCTAAGGCACAAGAATTTACATTGTTAGTAAGCTTTTCAAGTGATTTTTAGGCATACTAAATTGTATTAACCTTTACCATTCTAATTCTTTAAACTAGAATTATTATATTTATAATTCCATCTTCATCAAATTAAACTTTTGGTTAGCAAAAACGGTAGAAACCCCCTTATTCAATCAGATTGTGACAAGTAATAAACAGATTAGTCACGAATTTAAGTTAGATGGAGGAATCATAAGAAGTATTAGATGTAAGTCCTTAAAACTTTAATTTAAAAGACATATGTAAATAAATTTGCCAGAATTTTGATGACAAGGTCAAAGCCTTGCACGGATTCAGAGTGGAGTTTCTTGTGGAAACTATGCCAATGATACGTTGTCATGGATTTCTTCTTCACTTTCTGTGAAGACAACTGGGGTAAAACAATCTGAAATCCTAGATTACACAATTTTTCCCATTTATTTCTAGTTGTCTTGCCAAGAGTTAAGCTGACAGCAACTGTTTGAGTTTCTCATTTTTCCAACACATTTAGTTTATTTCTCAAAGAAACAATACTACCCTTGTTATACTCATTTTCTCAGTTTACATAATATTTATTTATTTATTTATGTATTTATTTTCAGACAGAGTCTCACTCTGTCACCCAGGCTGGAATGCAGTGGTGCGATCTCTGCGCACTGCAAGCTCCACCTCCCAGGTTCATGCCATTCTCCCGCCTCAGCCTCCCCAGTAGTTGGGTGTACAGGCACCCGCCACCATGCACAACTAATTTTTTTGTATTTTCAGTGGAGACGGGGTTTCACCGAGTTAGCCAGGATGGTCTCAATCTCCTGACCTAGTGATCCGCCCATCTCAGCCTCTCAACATAATATTTAATTAAATCGCATAGCTACAAGAACAAGAACAAATTGTGTAAACATGTTTAGGAATCAACACAGCTTCCTCTTAGAAACTATACAATTTCTGTAATGGAAGGAGAAATGTACAGGCATTAAAAGTAGCTCAAAGGCTTTCAGTTTACAGTGGACATCAGTCAATAAGTTGTACAGGGGTACCAGAAAGTGCTGATTGCAAATCAGTTAAGTGGAGGTCAGTTGAGGCAGCATCCACTGTATCCTAATTTGTAAAGTGAATGTTCTAAAACTGGGTTCACTTTTGCTATAAAGGACCAGATGATAAATATTTTAGGCTTTGCGAACCATACGGTCTCTATAGCAACCATTCAACTCTACCATTGTAGCAGGAAAGCACCATAGATCCATGGATGTGCTCCAATAATACTTTATTAAAACAGGCAGCTGGTCTGAGGGCCATATATATATCTTGCTGTTTTCATACAATTTTCTAAGTTAGTAGTTCCCTGCCTTTTTAACAATCAAGGATTACTTTTAATCCTCTCCTCTGATTTTATGTTTCAAAAGCCTTAAGAAAACCCCACAAAATATATTTATTTTGTAATTTTTGGGGGGTTCTTATTTTACTAATAAGTAATCAATGATATATAAAGGCTACCTACTAGGTCAGTATGAAATAATCAACATTATTAACTCTAATGACTTAGTTCTGGATAGAAATAAAAAGTATTCAACTATATATATATAACTTAAAACCTGTATAGCTTTTTCTGGTGTAAATATATAACTTTTCGAGATTTTTCCAGTATTAAATACGACGTTTGGGAATCCTCACACCTGGCTCCCTATGATGACATTCAAGAATTCTTAGGATTCTGGGAATCTTAGAATGAAAGTCACTGCTCTGTTGGAATGAATGAATGAATGAATAAGAAAGGGAAGGAAGAAGAAAGGGCATGTTTACTAAATGTAAATTAATCATCAAGGAACGTTTATTTTATTAATAAATTTGTCAACTTTAGGTTGCCAAATCTAACAAGATACCAACATGGCATTCATGGCGATCACACCTCTAGTCAAATTTTATTTTAGTTCATTGACTATAGTATTAATATCCTGAAATACTCAAAAATTCTGTCCTAATTCTGTGAATAATTCACTTATTAATCACCCTATACACTACTTAATGAATGGAATGGTGCTTGGAATAAAGATAATTACAGGGCTAAAAGGGTTTTCTCTAGAGGCAGGTTATAAGATTTTGTTGTCTGACTGGAATAAAAATTAATCAATATTTTCTGCAACCAGTGGCTTTCGACTTAGTCATCTATTAATATCTATCAATCACTATAACCTCAGTCCTATTTCCTCCATTCTTCTTTTTGCTATCATAGAAACTTGTCCATTTTATTCCTGTTAGATCTATATGTTTCTCCTATTTTCTTTTCTTCCAAACAACTGGACATCAACTTTGTACAGATAGTGCAGTTGATCCGAACCCTACAGAACTCACTTTTTCCATTTACATAACTTACATAACTGTCAAGCTGAAATCACTCTCAAATTTTTTTAATTCAAAATTTTAATTTCATTTAATCATAGTTATTTATTCATTCATTAATTCATTTTGAAAATAATTTTAACTTGTATTTTACATTCAGTGGTACATGTGCCAGTTTGTTACATGGGTATATCTCATAATGCTGAGTTTTGGGGTATGAATGATCCCGTCATCCAGATGCTGATTTGGTATGGTTTGACTCTGTGTCCCCACCCAAATCTCATGTTGAATTATAATTCCCAATGTAGGGGGAATGACATTGTGAGAGATGACTAGCTCATGCAAGCAGACTTCCCCCTTGCAGTTCTTACATGGTAAGTGAGTTCTCATGAGATCTGATGGTTTAAACATATGGCACATCCCCCCTGGCTCACTTGCTCTCCTGCTGCCATGGTAGAACGTGCCTTGCTTCCCCCTTCACCTTCTGCCATGATTATAAGTTTCCTGAAGCCTCCCAGCCATGCTTCCTGTACAGCCTGTGGAATTGTGAGTCAGTTAAACCTCTTTTCTTTATAAATTACCCAGTCTCAGGTAGTTCTATATAGCAGTGTGAGAACAGATTAATACATGAGCATAGTACCCAATAGTTAGTTTGTCAAACCTTGCCTTCCTCCTTCTCCCCTCTAGTAGTCCTGGTGTTTATTCTTTCCATCTTTATGTCCATAAGTACCCAGTGTTTAGCTCCCACTTATAAGTGAGATCATGTGGTATTTCATTTTGTATTCCTGCATTAATTTACTTAGGATAATGGCCTCCCGCTGCATCCATGTTGTTTCAAAGGACATGATTTTTTTTATTTTTATGGCTGCATAGTATTCCATGGTGTGTGAAATCGTTTGGAAGGTGGCCCCTATAAATCTCATGGTGAAATGTAATCCTCAGGGTTGGAGGTGGGGCCTGGTAGGAGGTGTTTGGGTCATGGGGGTGGATCTCTCATGAACTGATACCGTACTTGTGATAGCGAATTCTTTCAAGATCTGGTTGTGTAAGGGTGTGTGGTACTTACTCCCACTCCCATTCTCTCTTGTTCCTGCTCTGGCCATGTGATGAGCCTACTCCTTCTTCATCTTGTATCATGAGTAAAAGCTCCCTGGAGACTCCACAGGTGCCATCAGATGCCGTCACCATGCTTCCTGTACAGCCTGCAGGGCTATGAGCCAATTAAATCTCTTTTCCTTATAAGTTACCCAGTCTCAGGTATTTCTTCATAGCAATGCAAGAATGGCCTAATAATACTGTGTGGATGTACCACATTTTATTGATCCAATCCACTGTTGATGGGCACCTAGGCTGACTCCATGTCTTTGCTATTGTGAATAGTGCTGTGATGAACATGCAAGTGTGTATGTCTTTTTGGTAGAATAACTGACTTTCTTTGGGTCATATACCAGTAATGGAATTGTTGGCTTGAAAGGTAATTCTATTTTCAATTCTTTGAGAAATTTCCAAACTGCTTTAAACAGTGGCTGAACTAATTTACATTCACAACAATAATGTGTAAATGTTCCCTTTTCTCCACAGCCTCCCAAGATCTGTTGTTTTTCGATTTTTTAATAGTAGCTATTCTGACTGGTATAGGATAGTATCTCATTTTGGTTTTGATTTGCATTTCTCTCATGATTAGTGATGTTAAGCCTAATCTCTGCCACCTGAAAACTGGGAAAATACTGTGTCGCTTGTCAAAATAAATTGTTTTACTTTGCTTTAAAAATAATCAATTTAGTATATTTCTTCCAGCAAAATTAAGAAGTAAACATTTAGAAATGTAGAGTACCTTGCTGTTAAGTCTTCGCACAAGTATACCAATACAACATAAAGGCCATATTAAACTTTCATTTGAAATGAAAGACAATTTTTAAGAGGTTAAGGGCTAGTAATTTGTTAAAGTCCTGAAGTTAAATTAGCTCAAGTAAATACAAAGACTTTCCTTTAATTAAAGCCTTTTAAATGAATACTTTAAAGCATAGTTGGTTTCTCCTTCAAATCTTGTCCAAAGCCACTGTTTACAACTCAGTATATCAAAGAAGGTTTCAGACATGATTGTGAAGCTCCCTCAACTTACAATGTGCTATTTGCAACCTTAGATGGCTATCATTCTGGCTTTTCTACCTTTTAGCAACAATATGCACACCATTCCCATTTCTCCCCCACCCTGACTTACCCCTCTTTGCATTTAATATATAATTTTTCTCAGAGTGTTCTTACACATCTTTAACTGTAAATATGACAAAAGCACACAGTATAGTGCATGTGCCACATGTATAAATGTTGTATCTAGTCATACAATTTTCCTTTTAAAAAAGAAATATTTCATTTTCAAAAAGCAAAGACTCTAGGAATCTTTTCTAGCTGCCAGTCATAAAAACATAAATTCCTGGTTACATTCCCAAATTTGCCTGACCATAAGAACCACTTGTGGTACTTCTCAAACACATGTATTCTGAGTCCCATCCGTGATCTCCTGAATCAGAATCAGCAGGTGAGAGGCCTGGGAATACACATTTTAAACAAACGTCCACAGTGATTACGATTAGGCAAGCTTGAAAAAAATTTCACTAGGATCTTTATGACTGAATATCCTCACAAACATAGGAAAGTTACTGGGGAAAAATATGAGCAGAATTTCAGAATTCTCCCTTTGCTGAAAGTGTTTGTTCCCTCCGCCTCTACTCATCAAGACTTGACTGCTTATGTAACTCCCCCAAACCACCAACACCTGGAAGGAGTTGAAAATGATTTTAATGAAGAAGAAAAGCTGATGTTTAATTTCAAAATTGATGGTGACAATAGAAGGAAGAGGCATTAATTTATCTTGATTCTAACACAAAGCATTGTATTTGAGTCTACAAACTAAATTGGTTTCATTTTTATTTTTTGTAAGTTTTCACCAAACTCTAGGCATATATAGAGGCTGGGCAAGAAAGAAAGAAACCCAGAAATATGGCATATGTGATCCCTTATTTATTTCCCCATGAGACCAGCCAACAGCTTCTTCACCTAGTCCCTGCTTCAAGCTGACTTTCTGTCTACTTCTCTATCGGAAATGGAGCTTCCCTAAAGACTACCTCAATGTCGGTTACCCACAGGCCATTTTTCCATCTTGTGCTCCTAAACTTCTATGATATTAAATGATATTACCCTTTCTGGAAATTGTCCTTAACTTTGATTTTATAATTTTACTCTAACTTTGTTTCATTCCTTCTTTTATAGCCTTTCTTTTCTCTATCCCTTTACTGCAGACATGTTGTATGGCTTTGTTCTTGACCTTCTGATCTCTCTACGTTCATTCCCAACAGGATGTATCCATTTTCTTCGCGTCGCGCTTCCTAACTATCTGATTATTACCACCATATAACGATGTTGGTGATGAGCATAGCTAACATATCCTAGGCATTTTCCATGTAGGTTATAATAAGCACCCTATATAATTCGTACCATTTAATTCTTCAACCCTAAATGATACTATTACTAACCACATTGTATGAGATGAGGAAACTGAGATTTTCATCAAAACCATGGAAAGCCAACGTGAGGAGCCCCTGTGTGTCTCCTTTGTTAATGCCTCTGAGCATCATGGCATGTGGATTGCGGTGGAATGGGGATTAGGAAGCGCAGCACTGTGAAAACACCAGAAAATATGATAGCAGGTAAGGACGCTCATCTCTGCACATTGAGATGGTTTTGTTTCTGAGTCAGGTTTGAGATGAGTCAATCCTGACTCCATGGTGCCATCAGGGATCAGGAATTTAGTAAGATCTTCATGGATGCTTGGAACCCAACTGGTTTCTGTTTTCTACTTTAGGGAAAGAGCCACAACTTGAGTGGGGTGGTTTTGGTGTCACATACGCTATCAATAATACCCACCGTTTTGGTGTCACATACGCGATTATTAATACCCACCGCTGCGGAGGAATCACCGTGGACTACTCCTCGTTTCATCCCATGCTCTTGCGATGGATCCCTGTCACCTGTTTACTGATTTCATTCAAATTATTCAGCGACCACAGGACCCCGATTTGCCTTCTCTATCTTGGTTCCCATCACTCTGCTTTACAGGCCTGGCCTGCTCGTGGCTCCTCACACCAGCGCTGCACGTCTCCCTTCTTGCCTCTGCCCTGTTTCCTCCAGCAGACAGGACTAGCTTCCTCCATCTCTATGGGGCAAAAGCCTGCCCAGCGTTCAAGACCCTCCTCAGATGCCGCCTCCACGATTAGGCTTCTTCCTGACCCCTGAGCCTGTAACACGCGCCACCATAACTCTCCACCTTAGCCCACATTCCCACAGCACTCGCGACATCCGCGGCCCTAAACATGGAGCTTCATTCTATTTTAGGGTATTTCCTGCTTGTTTCCTGCACACACAGTCGCGTGAGGCACAGCCCCGAGTGACCCGCGCTTCCAGACTCGCCGCCACAGGCCGGCGAGGGCAACCTGAGCCGCTTCCCGCCTCCGCGGGGACCGTCGCCAGCCCGCAGCTCTAGCGGGAGGCGGTTCCACAGCGAGCCCAGCAGTCCCGCCACCGTCAGCACCAGTGCCTCAGGCGGGCTTTCCCCACCTCTGGGATGCACAAATCCTCAGGGGCTCCTTGAGAGGGAGCCAGGGAGCAGATGCGTGCGGACACCTTTCGGCCCTCTGCGGCCGCTGTAGCTCCTTGGCAGAAACCCGGAAGTGGAAATCTCAGCCACTCAGCGTTTGGGTGAAGACGAAGGCGGGTTTTGGATAGACGGACGCTGTCAGGGAGTGTTTACTTCGCCTCCACTTCTTTTCCTCCCCGCCCTGGTGCCGCTCCAGGTCACATACTCGTCCTGAGCTGGCTTCAGCCTCTCCACGTAGAAGTCTCCCGGAGCCATGGCCGAGTACTCTTTTGTGAAGTCTACCAAGCTTGTGCTCAAGGGAACCAAGGCGAAGAGCTGGGTCCTGCAGCTCCAGCGGGAGCCTCCTCAGTTCTTTTCGGATTCACTCCACGCCCGCGAATCCGGTGGAAGCCGTGGTGCGGAGAGCCGGCTTCGTGGCCTCCCAGGTTTCGCCCTGACCCTGTCTGGGCTGGACAGAGGCCGGGCCGCGGTTCGTGGCGCCTGTGCAGAGAGGGGCAGCCTCCCGCGTGGACGACACTGGAAACAGGATAGATGGGCGGGTGACCCGTAGCCCCGTACCCATGAGTTTGGGTCCGCTGAGGCATCTCTCCCGGCCTCTGCCTGGTGGGTCTGCGTTTGTCTGATCTTGTAGTTCATGATAATAACTTCCTTTACTAGGGATTATTCTTTTCTCCATTGTCTCTTCCTGGAAAAATTATTGATTATTTTTTTCTAAGCTAGTATGTAGAGTGAAACCAGGATGAATCACACAGTGGTTGAGGTGTATATAGGCTTTGATAGGGATATGGGCTGGAACCTGCACTCCGTCATTTACTAATTTTGTAATTTGTGGCAAATTGGTTAATATGTCTGAACTTCCATTTACTCATTAAGAGATCAAGTATCTTTAAACCTCCGTTTACACATTTATACTTTCAGACCATTTTTTATACCTTTAGAAGACTGTGAGGATTAAATTAGAGAACGTATATGCAGTAAATAAATTGAGCCAAATGTGAGGAGGAGGTCGTAGTGGTAATTTATTAGCTCTTTAGGAGAAAAATACCTGTGCATTCATATCCCCGCTTCTTTTTTAACTGGCAGATTTGCCTGAGGTTGACTGTACATACAAATATTGAGCATTTCCTTCTGGTCTCCGTGATAAACAGAGGTTTTGATATTGTTAGGCGAGATGGAAAGAAAGTGTCAAGGAGTGAGCTGAAGCCACTGCCCTTGAGAACCCTCTCGAGGAGTCTGGCCTCATGAAGATGCCAGAATAAATGGCAGGTATATCCTGAATGAATGTGAGATTTTTACTCTGTGAATTTCCTGTGAGGAGTGGTGAGTTATCTTCTGAAAACTTTATGATGAAAATGGAGACAAGAGTGTCTTAAGATTATCGTAATAATCATAATTAATGCTTATATAGCACTTTCAATGCGCCAGGAAATTGTTGTAGGCACTTTGCACATTAACTTTTTTCAAATCGCTCTTGGGTTTTTATTTTTTTATAGCGATGTAATTCATAATTATAAAATTCACCCTTTTGTACAGTCAGTGGTTTTTAGTACATATTCAAGAGGTTCACCACTGTCTAGTTGCTCAGCATTTTCATCATCTCAGAAGGAAATCTCTTCCTACCCATTAAAGCAATCACAACCCATCCTCCTTCTCTCCTAGTCCTTGGCAACCACTAGTCTCCTATCTATGTGAAATTGCCTATTCTGAATATTTCCTAAGAAATCATGCAACATGTGACCTTTTGTATCTGGCTTCTTTCACTTATAACATTCTTGAGGTCCATCATTGTTGTAGCGCTTGTTCCTTTTTATGGCTGTGTAGTATTCCATTGTATGGATGTAACATTTTGTTCATCCATTCATCAGTTGATGAACATTTAGGTTGTTTCCCCTTTTTGACTATTGTGACTAATGCTAGTGTGAATATTCTTATGTAAGTATTTTTGTGGGTGTATGTTTTCATTTCCCTTGGGTATACATACTTAGGAGTAAAATTGCTGGGTCATATGGTAACTCTTTAACTTTTTGAGGAACCCCAAACTGTTTCCTGTAGATGCTGCACCACTTTACATTTCCACCAGCAATGCGTGAAGATACATATTACCTCTTAATCCTCACAATAGCCTTAAGAGTTAAGTTATTATCCTAATTTATTAAGTGGGGAAACTGACTCCCAGAGAGATTCAGTACTTTTTACAAAAATCACAGAGCTAAGAAGTGACAGAATCAGGATTTAAAATCTGGCAGTGCGGCTCTACAATCTGCTTTGAACTTTAGCATAATATGTACAAAGCCTGAAGCAACTTCTCAGTACTGTATTTAAGAGGGCATAGCAATGTAAGTCTTCCTAAATCAATAATTTATAAGTGAAACAGCTTAAAAGACTTCCAAGTTTCAATCTTACGATATTTATTTATCACACAAATCAATATACCTAAACTCATCTGTATAAATAATGTCCTGTAGTAAGAAGAAAAAGAGGAAAGATAAGAAGAGAAGAAGATGAAGAAACCCAGTGTGATATGTTGGTGAGTCAGTTTTCAGTGCTTTATTCTGAAAAAAGTTAACATTTCTTGAGATCTCATTGAAAATATTTTCCTAGTTAGAAATTTATGATGTATTCATATTTGTCTTAAAGTGCTTAAATATTACCTACAGTTGTAAATTCCATTTATTCTTTAGCACAGTAGATGCTACTGATCCCTTTACTTCATTATCAGAACAGAGCACAGGAGAGAAGAATTACAACTCTCTGACTTAGTAGGCACCATTAGACTGCTTAATAGCCAGAGATTCTGATACATAATTTTAAAGGCTTAATGTAAATGTTATTCAACCAAATATATTTTACAAGTTATTTTCTTTGAACATGTATACATTTTAGTTGTAGAAGTCAGTTGTCTCTTAAACGAAGTATCTTCACAGGAAAAATCATCATTTTGTGAACTCTGAAATGAATGAAAATTTTAAATACAATATCAGGGTAGCCTGTAAATGATACTAGAAATAAACTGACCCAAACACACTTAACCAGCCTGTTTTCCACTTAGTTGTTTCCGTACTTGTTTTTCTCTTTTAAAACTTGGCAAATTGCATTTTGAATCTTCATAATTTATGGTAGCTTAAAAAATATATAAAATATGGAATGGTATAAAGCTAATATTCTGGAAGAATCATTACTTTTGAAATGGCAAATCAATAATTCTAAAATTAGCGTAAATATCTAGGGTAGATATGTAGATGTGGAATTGCTGTGTCAAAGGATAGGTGAATGTTTAACTATATAAGAAACTGCCAAAAGTTTTGTAAAGGGGTTGTGCCATTTTACCCTCCCACCAACAATGAATTAGTTCTCCAGTTACATCGTTGCCAAGAGTCGATGGAGTTATCAGTCTTTTCTCCCAGTCTGAGTTTTACCTTTTCAGTTTCTTAATGGTGGTTTTTGGATGGACAGCTTTTTTTTTTTTTTTTTTTTTTTTTTCCTGAGATGGAGTCTCTCTCTGTCATCTCTCTCTGTCGCCCAGGCTGGAGAGTAGTGGCACGATCTCGGTTCATTGCAAGCTCCACCTCCCAGGTTCATGCCATTCTCCTGCCTCAGCCTCCCAAGTAACTGGGACTACAGGCACCCGCCACCATGCCCAGCTAATTTTTTGTGTTTTTAGTAGTGTCAGGGTTTCACCATGTTAGCCAGGATGGTCAGAAGCTTTTGATTTTTATAAAGCTTAGTTTATTTTTTTATTTTATGGTTACTGCCTTATCTCTTTGATCTAAGAGATCTTTGCTTACCCCAAAGTCAGGAAAATATTCTACATTGTCTTTTAGAGGTCTCATAGTTTTAGTTTTTACATTAAATCTGTCATTAATCTCAAATTAATTTTTCGCATGGTGTGAGTTTGGTTTCAAGATTTACTTTTTTTTTTTTTTAACATCTTGATAGCCATTTGTGCCAGCACCACTGGTGTTTCCTTTTTGCATTAATCCATTTTCGTATCTTCATAAAAAATCAATTAAATTTCTATGTATTGGTCTATTTCTGGACTCTGTTCTATCGATTGTCTTTTTTTCTATTGGTATATTTATCTTGATTGCTATAATTTCATGAAGTGTTGAGATCAGATAGTGTGTGTCCTCCAACTTTGTACTTACTAACTATTAGTTTATTAATTTCTACAGTGAAGCCTGTTGGATTTTCTCGGAGAATTATATTGAGTCCAGATTATTTGGGGGAGAATCAACATCTTAATATTTGGCCTCAATATTTCATAATTTTCAATGTAGCAGTCTTGCATGCCTGTTTAAAAATTTATTCTTAAGTATTTTATAATTTTACACTACTGTCAGTAGAACTTTTGAATTTGATTTTCCAGTTGTTTGCTGTCAGTATGTAGATATACAATTGATTTTTGTATAGTGACTTTGTAGTCTGATAAGTCTGTTTCACTTATTACTTCTAGTGGTTTGTTTATATAGAAAACTAAGAAATTTGCAATTATGTTTCCTGTGACTATCCTTTTACTTCTTACTTTCTAATCCTTAAGTCTTGTCTTGCTTTTTATTGGTTTATTATACTGTCCAGGACTTCCATAGTGTTGAACAGAAGTCACGAGAATGGGCATAATTGCATTGTTCCCAAGCTTAGGCAGAAAGCTTTCAGTAGTCCACCGTATGGTATGATATCTGTAGGATCTGCAGAGAAAACCTTTATCAAAATGAGGACATTCCTTTTAAACTTTGCTTCTTGGGAGTTTTTATCATAACGATGTTTAATGCTGTCAAATGCCTCTTTCTGTATCTGTTGAGATGATTATACAACTTTCTTCATTCTACCAATGAATTACATTGGTTTCATTTTCAACTTTTAAACTAATTTTACATCCCTCAGATAAACCCCACTTGGTTGTGGTGCGTTGTCCTTAGGGATATTGCTTGAGTTGATTTCTAGGTGTTTGTTTGTTTGTTTTTAAGATTTCTGTATTGGTGTTGATGGGAGATATTGGACTTTTGTATCCTTTTCTTGTAATGTTTTTATTTGATTTTGGTGTCAAGGTGATATTTGGTGTCATAAAATTAGATGGGAAGTACTGTCTGCTTCCCTGTTTTTGGAAATAGCTGTGTAAGATTGGTATGATTTCTTCTTTACATGTTTGACAGGATTTACCAGCGAAGTCATCTGAACCTAGAGGGTTTTATTTGGTTTGGTTTTAGTTTTTTGTGGGAGAATTAAGATTTTTTAAGAGATATTTTCAGATTTTTCTGTTGTCAGTTTTGGTAATTTGTGTCTTTTAGGAAAATTTCATTTCATCCAAGTTGTTGGATTTATTGGCATAAAATTTTTCAGAATATTCCTTTAATATCCTTTTAATGTCTTAGAATCTAATCTGTATTGCAGTCTCTTCATATTGGTAATTTGTGTTTTTTCTATTTTTTCCTGGATCAGTCAGTCTAGCTGGAGGTTTATCAATTCTTTATAAGATCACTTATTTTAGATCATTAATGATCTTTTAATACAGGGGTATTCAATCTTTTAGCTTCCCTGGGCCACAATGGAAGGAGAGGAATTGTCTTGGGCCACACATAGAATACACTAATGATAAGCTGATGAGCCAAAAAAAAAGGAAAAAAAAATCTCATAATGTTTCAAGAAAGTTTATGAATTAGTGTTGGGCTGCATTCAAAGCTGGCCTGGGCCACATGTAGCCCTCAGGTTGGACAAGCCTGTTTCAGTATTACTTATTTTGTCTTTTTTTCATTTTTTATTTCATTTATTTTCAGTCTTTTTTTCCCTCCCTTTAACTTATTTTCAGTTTACTTTGCTCTTGTTTTATTGCTTCTTAAGAAAGCAGTTAGATATCTTCATTCCACGTCAGTTTTAGTTATAGTCAACACATTTTGCTTTCATTTTCATTCCATTCAAAATATCATCTAGTTTTCCTTGTGATTTTTCTTTCCATGGACATTTGAGTTATTTAAAAGTGTATTGTTTTTCATTTCTACTACATAGAGATATTATAGGTATGTTATTGTTGCTGATTTCTAATTCATTTATAGTATAGTTGGAGAACATACTTTCTTAGTGAATTTCCATGTACACTTCAAAAGAGTGTGTATTCTGCAGATGTTGGTTCAGGGCTTCTTGTTTTGGTTTTTTTTTTTTTTTTTTTTTTGGAGATGAAGTCACGCTCTGTTGCCCAGCAGGCTGGAGAGCAGTGGCACGATCTTCGACTCAGTGCAGCTTCCGCCTCCCAGGTTCAAGTGATTCTCCTGCCTCAGCCTCCAGAGGAGCTGGAAATACAGGCACCTGCCACCACGCCTGGCTAATTTTTTTAATATTTTTAATAGAGGTTGGGTTTCACCATGTTGGCCAAGCTGGTCTCAAACTCCTGACCTCAGGCAATGCGCCTGCCTCGGCCTCCCAAAGGGCTGGGATTATGGGCGTGAGCCGTGGCGCCCGGTGGTTCAGTGTTCTTCAGAGGTCAGTTAGATAAACTGGTGGAGCTTGTGACTATGCACATCTTCTGTGTCCTTACTGATTTTTTACTCATCCTACAATGTATTGAGAGTTATGTTAAAATCTCCAGCTGTAATTCTAGATCTGTCTACTTGAGCAGTATTTGCTTAAAGTATTTTGAAGCTGTCATGTGTACACATTTAGGATTGTTAAGTCTTCCTTATAAATTCAGTCTTTCATTTTCATAACATTTTAACTTTTATTTCTGTTAAATGTCTTGATGCCTAGTTAAATTATTTGACCACCCTTTTGCTCCTGACAAGCCTGGGCCTTTGTTAGTTTGTGCTTATTTATTAGGTTTTTGCCTGCAGACTTAGACAGTGACACTTACTCTAGGAAAGATTCATCCTCATGGGTCTCAGCCACATGTTCTAGGTATACTTTGTGAGTTCTCTCCACTCTGCTATGTCCCAAATTTGTGTGATCTCTGGCATCTCCAATCAGCCCTCAGAAGTGCCAGCCACTCTGCCGAGGCCTTGTGGAGCCTGCCTGCTCTATGCATTCCCCCCCAGCCCTTGGCCCCAGACCTGCCGAGAACTTTTGCATACTCTTTTGAGACCTCACCTGTATGTAGTTCCCTCTTCTCCAGTACCTTATTCTATAAACTCCAAACATGTTAGCACTGCAAGACTCTCAGCTTAGTGACAGTGACATTACCTCATTTCTGGAGGTCTCTACCTCTCTGCATGGTCAAGAAACTGCCATTGGGCAGAAAACAGAATTGTGTGTGAGATTTGCCTCCTGTGTTTTCTTGTTCTCAAATATTACAGTCCTGTTCTGCCTGTGTTCCAATCCCCGAAAAGAGTTTTCTCAAATATTCTATCTAGTTTCAGTTTTCTCGTTGGTCATCGTGGGAGGGCAAGTCCATCTTGGCTGGAAGAGTAAGTCCTTCTGCGTCTTTTTCTCTTTGTCCTTCCACCTTCTTTTGCATTGTGGATTTTCTCAACTTGCCGTATAAGTAAGCATGTGCCTATTTGTGAAGGGAAAGAAAAAAACCTTTTAATTTTTTAAAGCTGTTCTGTTGGTTCCTCACAAGGATCTGAAGGGATTGGTAAATAGGATGAAAGAAATTCTGACTTTCACATGGAGAGTACCATGTGTGACATTAATAAAAATGAGCATGTCTGTAAGCAAGGATTTTCACTGAGCTCTGCTAGATTCAGAAGCAATTGAACTTACAACATCGTAGTTTGCAAAACACAGATTTGATTTACCCAGGAACTAAAGCTAAGTCAGCTATGGGTTAATAGAAGTTCTGTGAAAGGTACTTAGACTACAGTAAGATTGGGAAAGAAAATTCCATTTCCAAATCTAAGATATATCATTCCTTTGTGCCAAGCACATAATGAAGGCAGAGATTTAAGGGGGTCCTTAGCACAGAAGAACTGGGTTAGTCAGAATGTGAGGTGAGCTGTCACACAGGCTTGATGCTAGAATGAGGGTGCCCTGATAGTACCTTATCAGCCATGACACTGGTGCATCGGGCCAGTTTTTTTTTTTTTTTTTTTTTTTTGAGACAGGCTGTTGCTTTGTTGCTCAGGCTGGAGTGCAGTGACATGATCATGGCTCAGTGCACCCTCGACCTCGTAGGCTCAAGCAGTCCTCTCACCTTGGACTCCCAAGTAGCTGGGACCACAGCCTTGTACCACCATACCCAGCTAATTTCTTAATTTTTTTGTAGAGATGGGGGTCTCCTTTTGTTGCCTAGGCTGATTTTGAATTCCTGGGCTTAAGTGATTCTCCTGCTTCCACCTCTCAAAGTGCTGGATTACAAGCATGCCAGACATATGGAAACATTCTCATCTATGTGAAAATATGTGAAAAGCTTTGTTATGCATTGTGAGACAACCCAGCAGGAACATTTCACCATCTGCCTAAGGTTTAAAAGGAAATAACTTTAAGCATATGTCTAAATAGCAAGTAATGTTTTAGAGTGGATTCTCTTAAATTCAGCTTGTGTGTCTGCAGCATATACACAGCTGGAGCTGTCACCTGACATAGAGACAGGCAACTTCAGTGCCCACTGTTCTTAGGATCCACTGCTTTTTCACAGCTAAAACCCCCTAGTGGCATCGTTAAGTATCATGTTATGTTACTTTAGTCATTAAACATATAAGCATACCTCCAAAGGTTGAATGTAGGCCACTTGCAGAAAGTAGGCAGAATGCTCACATTTAATTCTCGATGATACTGTGTTTAGCTTTCTTATTCTTTGAAATCCCATTGAGAAAAAATACTGGCATCTGCTCAAATTAATTTCTTTTTCAGTTGACAATATTATAAGTAATGTTGTAGTATCATTTCCCTACTTGGACAGAGGGTGAAAATTTTGAGGAACTTGTCTGCCAGAAATTTCTTCTTCATTTGCAAAACATTAATGAGATATTATATTTAAATGATTTTATTTAATATTAAGTGTACTTGGTGAACGTGGCATAGAACATACAAAATAAAACTAATTTAAAATTATTAACTTACATTTATAGGAAAGACTTGCTAATCATAACACTGTTCATAATGATTCTGAATAAAGCATTATTTCTTTTACTGAAAACAATTGCAGCTATAACTCAGTCATCTAAATTGTCATTAGTTTTATTTCTTTCTAATCGTCTTTAGCTGAAATTTTAATTTTGATTAATTTTCTTTTTCTCCATTGGTTTTGTGTGTGTGTGGAGGTAAAATATACAGAATATTGAATTTGCCAGTTTTTCTATTTTTACGTATACACTTCAGTGGCATTTGAATACATGCATCATTTTACCTTCCAACCAGCATTGCACAGGGTTTCAATTTCCCACATCCTGCCCAACATTTGTTTTTCTGGTTTTCTTGGTTTCTGTTTTTTGTTTGTTTTGATAATAGCATTCTAATGGGTGTGAAGTGGTATTGCATTATGTTTTTGATTTATATTTCCCTAGTGACTAGTGATGTTGAGCGTCTTTTCAAGTGCTTATTGGCCATTTGTATATCATCTTTGGAGCAATGTCCGTATATATCCTTTGCCCAGTTTTGAATTGTGGTATTTGTCTTTCTGGAGTTCTCTATATAGTCTAGATATTAATTCCTTATAATGTATGTAGTTTACAAATATTTTCTCCATTCTCCGGGTTGCCTTTTACTCTGTTGACAGTGGTTCTTGATGCACAAAAGTTTTTAATTCTGATGAAGTCCAGTTTGTCTACGTTTTCTTTTGTTGCCTGTGCCTTTGATGTTCTATATAAGGAATCATTGCCAAATTCATTGTCGTGAAGCTTTTCCCATTTTCTTCTAAAAGTTTTCTAACTTTAGCTCTTACATTTAGGTCTTTTGTCTATTTTAAGTTACTTTTTGTATTTGGTGTTAGACAAGGATCCAACTTCATTTTAGCTAAAATTTTATGTATTTTAAAATTGATTATGAAAAGCATGAAATGTTTAGTTGAATAGAAAATTTTGTGCAGTGGAATTAATTGAATCTTTAAAACCTTTTTATTATGGAAATATCCAAACTAATCCATACATAGAAGAATATAATGAGTCCCCCATGTGCCCAGGCCCCACCATTAAATATCAATATTTTGCCAATCTCGTTTCGTTTACATACATACCCCCACACACGTTTTTCCTAGAAAATTTTAAGTAAAATCACAGATATTACATCATTTTACCCATAAGTTCATAAATGTACATTTCTTAATGTGGTATGTCTTTCTCTCATCACCTGTTTTGTTCTTTACTTTTATACATTATACTATGTCATTATCAGACCTTGTAAAATTAACAAGAATTCCTTAATATGTCATATCCAGTTAATGATTGACTCATTTCTACTCTAGTTAAAGTACAATTTAGGAGGAGTTTTGAGGATATTTTTTAACATTAAGATATAAACTTTTATAACAACTGCTAAAATAATGGTTGCTAGACTCTAACATTTCTATTGGCAAATTGGACATTAGTATACATAGACATAGATTCTGCTCATTTTGCTTTCAATCTAAAATCATAATTAAGATTACTGGCTGGGTGTGGTGGCTCACACCTCTAATCCCAGCACTTTGGGAGGCAGAGGCAGGTGGAACACGAGGTCAGGAGTTCAAGACCAGCCTGGCCAATGTGGTGAAACCCCGTCTCTACTAAAAATACAAAAAAAATTATTCGGGCATGGTGGCAGGCTCTTGTAACCCCAGCTACTTGGGAAGCTAGGCAGAGAATTGTTTGAACCCAGGAGGTGGAGGTTGCAGTGAGCCAAGATTGCGTCACTGCATTCCACTCTGGGCGACAGAGCGAGACTCCATCTCAAAAAAAAAAAAAAAAAAAAATACTATGCTAGAAAGTCTTCCTGTAGAGGCATTTTTAAGAAGCATTATGATAGGCATTGCCTCTGGAAAGCAGGCATGAATAGATGGCTGGGGTCTATCATGAGAGAGACCGTTCTCCATATATCACTTTGTACCTTCACATGTTGCCTTTTGTTTTGTTTTGGTCTTTTTTTGAGATAGGACCTTGCTCTGTCACTCAGGCTAGAGTGCAGTGGTGTGATCATAGCTCACTATAACCTTGAACTCCTGGGCTCAAGTGATCCTCTTTCACACCTCCCCGAGTAGCTGGGATTACAGGCATGCACCCCCATACCTGACTGTATGTTGCTATTGTGTATTTTAAAAACCTAATCCTGACTGTGCTGGTAGTCGCAGGAATCTGTGCACATACATGCAAACAAGTACATGTAAAACTGGTGAAATCTGAATAAGCTTCATGTATTATATCAATGTCAGTTTCCTGATTCTAACAATGTATGATACTTATGCAATATGTTATCATTGAGACAAAGCGAGTAAAGGATATGTGAGATCTTCATAGTATTTCTTATGACTGCAAAATAAAAGGTTTTTAAAACTAAGTTATAATAACAAAGAACTCTGTCAAAACTAAAATAAAAAATTGAAATATCATTTTTATTTTTTAGGAATCTGGTGAACAGTAACAAACTTTGGTGAAATTTCAGGAACCATAGCCATTGAAATGGATGAGGGAACCTATATACATGTACTCGACAATGGTATTTTTACCCTGGGAGCTCCACACAAAGAAGGTTTGTGTCTGGAAGGGAAGATCCTGCCACAAGTGTAGATTTTAGGACATTCATTCACTTAGGCCAAACTCTAACTAGTCTCAAACATTTTCCAAAGGAATGGAACCATTGCATTTGACTCTTCCATTTTTTTTAATTCCTTAATATTTACCAGCCATTGGCAAGTCCCTCTTTCTAATATAAGCATTTGAAAACATTCCGTATGGTTCCAGAAGAGTATCTTTGGAAATCAAAACAATATGAATAATTAAAATAGTAAGTGGAAAGAAAAAAGAAAACCTATTTGGGTCAAACATATTTGAATTTCTTTTTTATTCAGACCTATTACCAAAACTAACCTGGGTGCATTTAACAATTTGAAGTTTCTTCATTTTCTTTAGCCCATTAGAGAAAGCACTAATAAGATACGAAGTAATTAGAAGATAAAAAGCAGTATCATTTCATCAGCAAGGCCATCCATTGAATAAATGAAAGCATTTAGCTTTTTTAAATAAGTGCTTATTTATGACTGTATTTTAAAACATAAAGAGAAGCTATCTCAAAAGTTATTAAATAAGCATTATATCACCCTGTCTTACTCAGTGTATAAAATTAACACTGTAGTTACAAGAAGGTAAAATAGATCTTGATTCCAAAGATACAGTATTACAGTGACATCAGTATATCTGAATATTCTTACATTTAATTGCAGAAGAAAATAGCCACATTTTTTAAAGCAAAATAATATCTTTATATTTATAGCAAATGTCAAATTTATTTTCAAATGTTTTTTCTCCAATAGTTGATGAGGGCCCTAGTCCTCCAGAGCAGTTTATGGCTGTCAAATTATCTGATTCCAGTTGAACTTATATTGTAATATAATTAGTAACCAGTTATTTTAAAAATTTAATTGTATTCATTAAAAATTTTAGTATGTATCTTAAGTCCATGGTAATTTTGATATATAAAACAAAATAGCTTTTTTGAAAAGTAGATTTTGTGATCTACTTTCAGTGGATTTCTTATCAATATATAATGCTAGGCTGGAAAAAAGATATGTAAGTTAAAAAATGAAGATTAATAATTTCACACACCAAATAAGATAAATTAAAAAATAAATAAATTTGTACAAAACCTGGTTCACTGTTGCTATGATATTTAAACTCACTGTTTGGAAGTCTAAAGACAAACAGGAAGACTAAAAAAAAGGAATATTGTTAAAACCAGCAGAGAATGTTACAGCATCATAACGACCAAAAGAATATTTTTCCTCACTATTTTTACAGTCATTTTATAAAGTAACCTTTTTTATTCTCACCTTGTGCAGAAGTATAGAATGATTCTTTGGGTAAAAGATACTGAAAGTGAATTTACATATTTTAGTAATTGGTTACATCAACATGATAATGATTTCTGTTATATAATCATTAATGTATAAAGGAGTAAAAGTCAATTCTGGCATCCGAGGAGATTCTTGGTAAGGTAAAAGAAATCATAATTTTAAAACATCACATTAAGATGATTATTTCTATACTTTCTTTGAAAGTCTGATAAGTAGGGTGAAAGAATAAAAGCAGAGGAAGAAAGATTCAATAGTTTTAAACTGCTTTACAGTTATAAACAAAAAAGGATTATAAAGAAAATTAACTGACAAATGAGAAAATATTTGCAACAATCTTAATAGGCAGTGAGTTCTTACTCTTCATACATATCTTGTATAGAATTCATAGCACTGAAGACCCCAGTAGAAAAATTGCGAACAATCAAATCTGAATAGAAAAATGGACAAGGGACATTATCAGATAATCTAAAAACTAAAAAGGAAAGGAAAAGAGAAACAATTGTTATTCTAGTTAACTACTAAAATGCAAATTAGTAGGATACTGTTTTTTTCCATATTAGGTTTTCAAGTATTTTTTTAGAGTCATAATGTTTAAAAAAAATCCATGATACAAACCATACTCTGCTAATTTGAGGTAAGAATGTAAATGGAAGCAGCATTTTCTGGAAAACAGTTTGATGACATAAAGTTTTAGTAATTTATTATTGAAGTTTATAACTAAAGAGGTATAATTGAAGAATGATGAATTTTGAAAATATTTGTTATGTAATATACAAGGTATAATGTTTTTATTAAAAAAGCAAAATATAAAACTAAATGTAAAACTGTACCATCCAATATGGCAACAACTAGTCACATGTAGCTTTTTTTTTTTTTTTTGAAGACACAGAGTCTCAATCTGTCACCCAGGCTGGAGGGCAGTGGTGTGATCATAGCTCAATATAACCTCAAATTTCTGGGCTCAAGCACTCCTCCTGCATCAGCCTCCTAAGTAGCCAGTATTACATGTGCACACCACCATGCCCAGCTAACTTTTTAAATTTTTTGTAAAGATGGGGTCTCACTATGTTGTCCAGGCTGATCTTGAACTTCTTGCCTCAAGCAATTCTCCCATTGCCTTTCCAAAGCACAGAGATTACAGGAGTGAGTCACCACTCAGCCACATGCATCTTTTGAACTCTTGGAATATGTCCAGTCTGAAACTTTAGATATGTACACACCCACACACATACACATGTCCTGTTTTGATGTTCTATAATTAATTTTCTCTCAGTTTTTAACTTTTATCTATCTTATTAATGTACAGAATCACCCTGAAATCTGGCTATGGAAAATATCTTGGTATAAATTCAGATGAACTTGTTGTTGGGCGTTCAGTTGCAATTGGACCAAGAGAACAATGGGAACCAGTCTTTCAAAATGTAAGTGCTGTTTTTGTTTATAAAAACTTCCTGTCAGTTTAACACAAAGTCTGTAACAGTAAATCATAATATATTTAAAAACAAAAAGTAGGATGCAGTAGTATAATACATTAAATTGGAATAAACCACTAAGAACATACAGCCTTAAAGAGATTTCAAAATGTAGTGCAACAAAAATAGCATTAGTACTTTTGCCCACAATTATTTCTCTATACCCTTAGTGCCTAGGTATGGATCTCATTTCCACTGAAGAACCAGTCAATTTTAGGTCACAGAGTAGGAAAACAGAATAGTTCCTAAGTATCTTCTTTGTAGCAGAAAACATGGATGATTTCAGAAACATTACAGACTGCAAGTAAACAGTGGAGCTAGCTAAGACCAAGTTGTGACAATTTGCGTATAAAATATAAATAATAATAGTTCATTGAAGTAAATTATCTCTAAAAGACTTTCAGTTCATAAGCTTAAAATAGTGTATGAAAAGATAGTTTTAATATAAGAAGAAAAAAGATAATATACTAATTCTTAATTTTAGTAAGTAAACAATTGTAGTATATGGATGTTTTGTTAAATCTTTGTTGATACAGAATACATAATTTCCTTTTTCTGTTTGTGTGAGAAGAAAAGATTGAACAAAAATATATGAGTGCTAAACTGTCTTTAAAAAGTAGATAACTATATCAAAAACAGTAAGGACCAGTGGGCACCACGCAGAACAAGCAAATAGAAGATAATCTCAGCTTTGAGTAGCAGCTTTGGTAGTATACATTAATGAACTGAAAATAGGTACTCAGCAGTGTTTTCTAAGATGACAGATTAAACAAACATCCCACCAGAAAGTGGTAATCACTTAGACTAATTTCCTCATCCCCTAGGATAAAATCTTAAGTCGGTGACTTGAAAACTATTTTGACCCAATCCATTGACAAATGCATTTTTACATTGCAGCCCAGCACACACATATGTATAACTGAAGCAAGAGTTGTACTTAACAATACATACTTATCCATGTGTTATGAACCTTGATATTTCTTATTCTCTTTTACCCCTTCCTCTGTGTGTCTGTGTGTATTCCTTTTCGCCCCCACCCACCCAATACCGTTCAGGAAACACTACATTGATTTCATTACCTGCTAATGTGTTGCAACCCCTTTGAGATGATTCTACTTATTATGATGAGATGCTTCTAATAAAAGTTACACCAGTAGAAAATGCCAATATTTCATAAGGCCAGGATGATGACTTAGATAGTACTAATAATACAACACTTTAGGAAAGTTCATTTCATTTTATTTTTAGGAAGGACACTAAGTTTCAAAAATTTAAATTTAAATGAAAGAGGGTCTTAAAACTCTATTGCAAAAAGGACTCAGCTGAATAATCTGTGGCACAGGTTTAAATCGCCTTGGACCACACCGCCATGTTCCAGAGCTCACCAGTAGCCATCCAGATGAGAGACCACCCAGCCCTTGTGACTTGACTAAGAAATTAAATCCATGTTATCAGCACGTTTTTAACTGGATGTGTTATAAGGTTAACATATTTTGTAATCATTGTATTTATAAATATTTTGTCTAAATGTTATGGTATTCCAAGTTTTCCAAAAGAATCAACCAAATACAAGTTATAAATAAACGTTATATTTGTTACGGGAGTTAAGCTAACCAAATTTATAACCCAGATTTAGCTACACAAGAAAATCAGTTTTTAAAGTTTTGTTTAATAGAAACCAGTGTAATACATCAAATATTAAACAATTAAAAATGTATATGAATATTTATTTTCACACACAAAAGTCCCTCAGACATTGATTCTTAAATTCCAAACACCGAAGGCATTGTATATACATTTTCATGTTTTCTAATTGTGAAGAAAATAAATTTTACTTAAAATGTTAATATTTGAATAAAGTATGCATTCATAATTATGTTCTTGTCTTTAAAGTTAATTTTCCAAACAGAACTAAATCAGTTTTATCTTCAGTAGATCTTTTAGAAAGGAAGCAATCCTACCTCATCTAATTAGAATTTAGTCCTACTAGGAAGATACATTATAAATGTTTATTGTGGTAATCTTTGAATAGTAAAATGAAAGTTGATTTTGGTTCCCTTTTCTATATGTTCTTGTATTATATTTTTCAGGTTTTTCTCTAAGTTCTTTTCTGTGATTTTTAAATCAGGGAGGAAAAATTAATTCAGTCTAAACACTTAATGTTTCTTCTACAAGAAGTA
Organism: Homo sapiens; assembly: GCF_000001405.40. NCBI lineage: Eukaryota > Metazoa > Chordata > Mammalia > Primates > Hominidae > Homo > Homo sapiens. The sequence goes on from NC_000020.11 coordinate 29,096,693, forward strand.
TCCTCATGGCTATATTGTTATTTTGTTTCACTTAGGGTAAAATGGCTTTGTTGGCCTCAAATAGCTGCTTTATTAGATGTAATGAAACAGGGGACATAGAAGCAAAAGGTAAAACAGCAGGAGAAGAAGAAATGATCAAGATAACGATGACATTTTATACAGATGACTGCATTCACACATGCAATGTGACTATCTCTTTAAAATGTTAAGTCATCATTTACTGTCACTTTAAAGATTTAGTTAATAGCTTTTATAATGTGATGTTTCAAATAGACTCATTTTTAATTATAAATCCCATAGTTGATGGCTTGTTTATACAATGTGGTAGAGAAATCAGTGCATCTAGGAGCTACCTTGCCATTATCTCCATGGATTAGTATCTTTTTTCTGGTAGTTCCACATGCTCTTTTTAAGCTTTCATTTTCTTGTTTTCTTGTTTGTATTTTAAAATCTGATTTTTTAAATAGATAACATGTACATGTGGTCCAACATTTTTAAATAAAAGCATATAAAGATGAAGATATATGCCTGCCATGCATCTTACTCACCTGTGTCCCAGCTCCTGTTCCTCTTTCTCTTTGTTTTGTTTTTTTATAGCCTCCTAAAGTTTCTTTATAAACATATGAATATATTTATAATTTTCAACTGTTTTACACTAAAGGCAACCTCCTCTATAGTCTTCTCGACTTTGATTTTTTTTTTCCTTAAAATTGTATCTTGGAGAGTTTTCTACTATTAGTTTGAATGTAGAAAGGTTTCTCTTTGTCTTGCTTTTCCTCTCTTTCTCTCTCTCTCTTTATTAACAGCCACGTAATATTCCATTTTAGGGATGTACCTTAATTTATTTAGTCTTTTGTAGATGGAAATTTAGGCTTTTTTCAGTCTTTTGCTCTTATAAACAGTGCTGCAGTACATAACATTGAATATGCATCAATTTGTAGATGTGCGGGTGGACCTGAAGATAAATTTCCAGGAACAGAATTACCAGGTCAGGGCATACGTGTTTGTATTTACATAATGCTTGAGCTTCTGTGATGATAATCACTCTATGAAACATAAAAAATCATAGCAGAACTTCTGGGGCCTTAGCCCTTACATTTTAAAAATATTTTTATTAATAGTACCTGTCTTCTTTGCATTAGGAGAAACATGAATCACGTAAAACATGATTTTTATTTTATTTTTAAAATTTGTGTGCATCACTAACCTGGAAATAAAAGTTCCTTATTCCAGGCTAAATTCCCTCATCCATAGTCAGATGCGTTATCCATTGCACCAGTGGCCTGTGCTCTCCCTAATCCTACTCTTTGTTTTACATCATTGTAAAAGTTACACAGACATCTTCATATCAAGGTGAAATTCCAAATAATACTGTTAATATAACCTAGAAAATTAAGGTAGTTAACTGGAACTTGATGAAAACATTTAAGGATTAATTTTTTAGACTCACAAAAGCCACTGATCTTTAATGATATACATATACCAGGATGTGTCTAAAGAATAACTCCCCCCTTCTTGACACATGGTTTTTCTGTGTCTTGGCATTCCATCGCAGTACTGAGCAAAGGCACTGATCTTTAATGATGAACATATACCAGGATGTGTCTAAAGAATAATTCCCCCCTTCTTGACACATGGTTTTTCTGTGTCTTGGCATTCCATCGCAGTACTGAGCAAAGGCACTGATCTTTAATGATAAGCATATACCAGGTTGTGTCTAAAGAATAACTCCCCCCTTCTTGACACATGGTTTTTCTGTGTCTTGGCATTCCATCGCAGTACTGAGCAAAGGCACTGATCTTTAATGATAAACATATACTAGGATGTGTCTAAAGAATAACTCCCCTCTTCTTGACACATGGCTTTTCTGTGTCTTGGCATTCCATCCCAGTACTGAGCATCCAGAACCTTACTTTGTTTGTCTCTGTTGGGAATCCCAGGTTGCATCCAGTCTGACCCAGATTTGCTCTGTAAGGCGTTGTGGGGGCCAGAGTGGAAGGCTCTAAGAGAGGGGGCAAATGCCTTTTCTAAAATGCCCTTCGTTCTTATAATTAGAGCATAAAAATTTATGTTACATTTTTATCTACTACCAGTGTAATTTAAAAGCATCTATCAATTCTCTGTACATGATTCATGTTAGATTTCCGGTCATATGTTTGATTTTCTCTTTAGAATAGTCTTGATTTCAGATAATTTCAAATCTAAAGCTCAGACAATTTCAATCTAACATGTAGGTATTTTCTTACAGTTAGAGAAGTGAAATGTTATATTTTTTTGTTGCATGCATCCGGCACATGAGTTGTAGTCTTGAATTTCCATAATGCTCCTGTGAGGTGGATGTGAGCTCAGCCTTACAGACAGGAAGACAGCCTCTGACCCTCCTTACATCCTCGTGGTTTTTGTCAGTCAGTTCATGGAAATCACAGTGATTTCAAGGTGTGGTAAGACAGGATGTGTACCCAGGCCCAGCTGACTCCAGAGGCCACTCTCAGTATTTCATAGCACATTGCTTCTCAGGAAACAGGTCATTGAGGAAATGCAGATGGGTTTGTGACTTACATTTAATTTTACTTATTTATATTTTATTGTATCATGTTTAAATTATTTTTCATCTGGATATCATCACAAAAGTGTTACTGAAGGCAACAATTGCAAATATATGTGCGGTGCTTTGCACTTATACAAAGATACAAAGATACTTACACAAACATTGCATTTTTCACTATTTAAAGCAATTTTCAGATGAAATACAAAGTTTTCTGTGTCTCTTTGGTTAGTCAAGTACTTGGAAGCTCTGAACAGTGATTATTTAGGACTCTTTTTGTACCATTTAATTGCAGGCTCTCCTAATCTCTGTCAGCCCTTCACCTTTATGACCTTGCCTTGTCTACCAGAACACAGACCCCTCTTACTAAAGGTAGCATTGTGCTACAGGCCCTAGCAGGGAATGTTTTCAGGTCTGGGACCCCTCTAATCAAAACTGTCACAAAGATGTCATTGGCACAAACACGTTATTTGTCATCACTGTCTAAGCAGCCCTGGAACTGGACTCTGGCCACAGAGATCCCTTAGGAGACATGATTCCTTACCATTGCCAATTGCCTGTTCTGTGGGCAATCCTAATTTTTGAATGCAGATTAATTAACTGATGACATGTGATAGTAAACATCTATCCAAACTTAGGAGGATATAAGAAGCTAGTAAAAGAGGTGAGTTCCAATTAATTAAAATCAAGTTGTGTAATGTTAAAAGTTTTAATACTTTGGTAATAGTCTGTGCAATATAAAATAGCTATTAAGCTTTCAATCTGATCAAATGAACACTTGTCTACTAGGGATAATTTGATCCTAGTGTATTCACTTGGAGGATAAAATTAAATTAATGATTTCTTTATTGCCTAACAGGATCTGATGTGTAAAATGTTTCTGAAATAATTTTGTCTGTAGTGTTTCTGACACAAGGGCTGTGGAGAAAGCATGTGATAGCACTTACTCATATAGATTATATATATGAAGTAAAAACACATAGCCAGAACCTGTCTTTTTCTGAACATAGTTGCTCAGTTAATTTTTTCTTCTGCATAAGAAATCATCTCGAATATTCTTAGGTGATGTGTAAAGTGGGGAAGATGGAAGATAAATATATAACCCATTGGATTCTCTTTTCCAATATCTAGATTAGATCCTGTGCTGAAAGAGAAACCAAGAAAAAAGATGACATTCCAGAAGAAGACAAAGGAAATGTAAAACAATGTGAAATCAATTATGTGTATGTATGCTTTTCCTTTTAGACCTACAGATTTGACAGTGAAGTGCTTCTCAAAGTGCTTTCAAAATAAATTACCTAATTAGCTGGGGATGGTGGTGCATGCCCGTAGGCCCCACTACATGAAAGGCTGAGACAGGAGGATTGTTTTAGCCCAGGAGTTCAAGGCTGCAGTGAGCTCTGATCACCACTGCATTCCAGCCTGGGTGACAGAGCAAGACCCTGTCTGAAAAAATGAAAACTGATGGACAAGAAGAGGCAACACAATGTAGCCTCTAGGACAGAGCACTGAGCTAAATGCTTTTCTCTTCTTGAGGGTTCAGTTTTCCTAATCATCCTACCAGCTCCCAAAGCTAGTCATTCGGGTTAGTCAATCTCTCTATTCATTCATAGAATGGGCATGATGCCAGTCAAAGGCTGTGCTGTGGCCAGGACACAGGGGACTCCAGCCACCATGCCTTAATAGAAGTGGTGCCTTCTGCTACCCAGTCAATGAGTGGCCCTCCTCTTGAGAGGTTATGAAGGTCATCTTTTTTGTTCAAAAGCTCCAGCTTATTAAAAAAAATACAATTAGACTTTTTTTCTCCCCCAAGACAGTCTCGCTCTGTCCCCCAGACTGGAGTGCAGTGCCATGATCTTGGCTCATCGCAACCTCCACCTCCCAGGTTCATGTGATTCTCCTGCCTCAGCCTCCTGAGTAGCTGGGACTACAGGCGCGCACCACTGCACTCAGCTAATTTTTGTATTTTTAGTAGAGATGGGGTTTCACCATGTTGGCCAGGCTGCTCTCGAACTTCTGACCTCGAGTGATCTGCCTGCCTTGGCCTCCCAAAGTGCTGGGATTGCTGGCATGAGCCACTGTGCCTGGCCTACAATTAAACCTTTTTAATAAGTGAAAAAGAAATTAACAGTATTTACAAATTTAATAGTAAATATGTATAATCAGAGTTTGAGGTATTTTTCAATGTAGACATTTTCTCTGCAGAAAATTTCAGAGCTTCCAAGACCACAAGCTTAAAATAAGTAAAGAAGACAGTAAAATTCTTAAAAAGGCTCAGAAAGATGGATTTTTGCATGAGACGCTTCTGGACAGGTAGCTATTTATTTACTTATTTTCACTATTTTCAGTAGCCAATAGAAATGGCATGTAGAAAACCTATATTCTCTTAAATTACTGTAGTTTTCACATTTTTGTCTTTATTGCTAATTTATGAGTGTGGCAATATTACCTAGAGAGGACATCATGAGTTTGGGAAAAGACTGTCAAGAAAGAATATCTAAAAATTATAACCTATTCTAAGTATATATTCTAAGAAATTCAGGTTTGACTGTATGTACTTCATAAATTTATCATTATCTTTTTATAACTATTAGAACCAGAGTTAGAAAGAAGCAGTTTGACTAATATAAAAATTATGTGGATTCTGTTAGAGTAGTTCAGGTTCCTTAAAATAAGCATAGATCAACTAAAAAACTAAGTATAAAAGCTAAACAAGTGAAATTGAAGCAGTTTTATTGTAAGGTTTGGAAGAGTACAGGATGTTTATCATAGCACATTATTAATATTTATTACTCTTCCTATGTAGATAAGTAATGTCCTAGATTTACAACATAGAAAAACAGGTAGAGACGTTTAGCTGTGAGTGTGCAAGTATAAATCAATTAAGTGCCAGATTTTGATAATCACCAGCCTCTCATTCAACTCCTATGTTGCAAAGTTGCTCTTATGCTTTTCTTACATTACTTGATAAAGGCAATGTTTAATTACATATTTCCTATTAACTAGCTGGTAGAGTTCATACCTAAAGTCAGTAAATGTTAAGAATTTTTTCCAGCTGAGCAAATGAGTATGTATCTAGTTGTAAGAAATCAAGAAGAGGATATAAAATGTAATCAGGATGTGGACTCTAAAACGGAATAACCTCTATGTCCTGTAACTTTTATCACTCGTAATAATACAGCATTCTCACCCTATTAAATGGAAATTTAAAGCACCCTTAAATTCCAGAATAATTAAAATTGCTATTTGGATTGAAAAAGCCCTTAGGCAACATTTATTGAATATTGGGAAATAACTTATATAAGATTAGAATCCATTTTTTATCGAAACCAAATTTGAAAGTATACATATTTTAATATAACTGCTGTGGTAATACAGTAACCAAAATTGAACACACAGTTTTAAAGCTTTTTATATTTAGTAGCAGTTGAATATATATGGCATGTTTTACTTAGATTAATTTTACTATTTTTCTTTGTTTAAACAAGAGAACCAAATTGAAAGCTGACAGATACTGCAAATGACTGGGATTTTTGTTTCTGCCTTATCTTTTTGTGTTTTTTTTCTGAATAAAATATTCAGAGGAAATGATTTTACAGAGTTCTTGAGTTGTTGTGAAATTATTATTTAGCTAGTACCTAGTTTAACCAGGATTAAACAAGTTTAATCAGGATTCTTCATGGATGTACTTTTTAGCTAACTAAAGCTTTTCACATGGAAATTAAACTTACAGTACACACTTAACATACCACAGAATTTTTTTCTGGATTTCCTGTCCTGAAGCATGAAGTGTAGTAGAAACCAATTCTTCCTGCGCTACTTGTGGAATCTTTCTTACTGGATCATAATCTTACTTACTTTATACAATAGATGCTTAATCAGTGCCTTTAATAGGAAGTTAGAAACTCCCAATCCCATCAACAAGGCTTTGATTCTACCTCCTAAGTAGTATCCAGATTGCAGACAATCCAAATATCAGAACTAGGGGCCCGGGCAGAGAGGACAAATCATCTATTAGGGAGTGAGACAGAAAGTAGAAACATTACAAAGGAGCAAGTAGTCTCAGAACAGAGGGGAGAGTAGTTCTGGGAAAACTCCCTAATGAGGACAGGTTTGCCACAGTGGATATGTATGTGATGCTTTTGTCCTCGTGGGCTGGAATGCAAGCTGATAAAGAAATTCAGACGCTATGTGTTGCTTAGGTCTGCTTTGTTGAAGCCTGTCTCTTTCAGAGTTCCTAAACAATATTTCCGTGGCATCTAATCCCAGTGAGTGCTCCAAATCCAGGCTGTGTATCAGATGCCACGGGAAATTCTGCCTCAGGACTGAGGTTGGTTCAAGCATCTGGATGATATCAAAAGTCCACGTTGTGTGCTGGCCTAACTTGAAAGACCCTATCTAGTTCTAGCCTTTAAATTCCTTCTGTCACCAAATCTGAAGTTACATGGCATCTGTACAAGCTAGGTAGCTGAGGCATGGGATCAGCCCTTTAAAGGAGCTTTTGGAGCTTTTGTTGTAGGTCCAGCTCCAACTTGGCACTCCAGTTCCAATAGCTGGACTTTCTCTCATCGTGTGTTCTGATCCTTGGATTGGGAGCAAAGTAACCACACTGATCCCACAAAGCAGTGGTTCCAGTTCCCAACTGGTGACTATTTTGCCTCCCAGGGGACATTTTTGGTTTTCCCAACTGGAATACGGGGTTAGAGAGTAGAGGCTAGGGATGCTGCGAAACACGTGGCAGAATCCTGTTCCAACCAGAATGCTAACAGTGCCAAGGTTATGGAGCCTTCCCACCCAAGGGCTTGGCCTATTTCTTGCTTTTGCCAGCTCCCTAACCCTTAAACACAACAGTTCAAATCTATATGCATAAGCATCTCCTAGGGACCTGCACGTTTCCAATATCGACTACTGAGACCCATCCGTAGAGATACAGGCTTAGGAGGTCTAGGATTGGGCTCAAAATTTGCATTTTAACAAGTACTCTAGGTCATTCTGAAGCAAGTGATACAAACCACAGAATGAGGAACACCGCCTTCAAGAGACTGAATCTTGCTTCCCAACACTAGCTTGCTATCTGAGACCATCTGCCTGCTGACTGGCTTCGTGGCACAAACATTCTGCACGTAGGCACAGTGTGTTCCTGGACTCCATGTCAACCCGTTCACCCTCATGTTCCCTTGGTTTCTGTCCCCAGTCCAGCGAGCAGAACTGATTACAGATCTTGACAACAGAAGATACAGATTTAAAATAACTTGCCTGTTCCCGTGGACTTTATCCACTAGTGGAGGAGGACAAGTGGACAAGGGGAAAGGGTAGGTGGGGGCTTCTTCCCCATTCCTCCCATTCCACTTTATACAAACCCCAGCTAGACCACTGGGAGAGCAACGGAGGTTAAGAATGACTTCATCTAAATATTGTCATCTGGTCCACTCTTCTTTCATCTTGTACACAAGAATATCATGAGTTTTGCTTAAAGCACTACTGAAACCAAGATAAACTCTGCTTAGCATGCCCCTGACGGATCAGTCTAGTAATCTTATCAAAACCAAGACTACCTAAAAGCACTAATCAAAGGAAAAGCTCCCTCACCCCAACTTATGACTGCTCACATTTTTCAGATTGAATCATTTCAATTGTATTTTAAGGTTCATTGACTCTTTACCACCTCCAAGCTGCTCCTGAACACAACTGATTGTTATTTTTTAATTTTGAAAACTTTCTCACTTCTAGAATTTCCACTTTAGCCTTTGTTATTATTGTAGTTTCTTCTTCTCTGCTGTGATTTCCTATCCATTTATTTTACGGGTTTTTGGGGTTTTGATTTTAGTAAGAATTACAATAACTACTTTAAAAATCCACACTAATTCCAACATCTGCGTCATCTCGAGGTCAGTCTCTATTGATTGCCTTTTTCTTTGAATGTGTTTCTTTATATTTTTGATATAATGGGATTGAATTCTGAAGATTGTAAAACTAGATTTTGTTTTGTTCCTCTGAAAATTTTGATTTTTTTTGTTGTATTTGTTGTATTTTGTTTGATTTTTTTTCTATTGTATACTTTACAATATATTTTCCTCTAATGGTTTTAACATTTCTATTTCTCAAAATATTTATGTTTATGTTAAAAATTATACAAATTAACTTGGTGCAGTGGCTCCCATCTGTAATCCCAGAACTTTTAGAGGCCTAGGCAGGAGGGTCACTCAAGCCCAGGAGTTGGAAACCAGCCTAGACAACAGGGCAAGACCCTGTCTCCACAAAAAATTATTAGGGCGGTGCAAAAAGTAATTATGGGTTTTTCCATTACTTTCAATAGCAAAACCCACAATTACTCTTGCACCAAACTGATAAAAAAAATAAGCTGGGTATGGTGGTGGCGTGTGCCTGTGGTCTCAGCTATTTGGGAAGTGAAGGCAGAGGTGGGAGGATTGCTTGAGCCCAGGAGTTCCAGACCAGCCTGAGACCCTGTCTCTATGAGAAAAAAAAAAAAAAAAATTAGCTGGGCCCACGTACCTGTGGTACAAATACTTGGGAGTCAAAGGCAGAGGTGTCAGAATCACTTGAGCCCAGAAGCTCAAGGCTGCAGGGCATTGTGATTGTGCCACTGCACTCCAGCCTGAGTGATGGAGCATGACCCTGACTCCAAATAATAATAATAATTACAAAAAGGAAAGACCTAGAACACCAGGTTAGGGTTAAGTATTCTAAAATTCAGCTGACTTACTCTGTTCACTATAAAGCAGGTTGCCACAGAAAATATAACATGCCCAGTTAATTTGAAATTTCAGATAAACAAATGCTTTTTTCAGTGTAAGTATATCCCATGCAATATTTGGGACATACGTATACTAAAATATTATTCCTTGTTTATCTGAAATTGAAATTTAACTGGGTATTACATAATTATAGCAGCCTGACCATAAAAGATATGAGCTGAGCAAAATTCTATTTTAAGCTTCAAGCTTTATCATAAATGTATTATTAATCAAGAACTATTATTTACTGAGACCTGTGTAGATCCCCGTATTTATCTTTTTAAATGTGGAAATAGGAAAGCTACATAAAGAACATTTATAGAAATAAATGACTGTTCTATAGCTGAAAGGAAAACTCTAGCTTTTATTTTTCTCCCCGAACTTAAGGTTTATTCTACATTTGTATAAATAATAAAATTACAGCTCAACTTTGGAAGCACAGATCATAATATAAAAATAAAGCAAAGATCCCAGAAACATTTAACAGGCAACAAATCTTTCACATCATCTTACTATACCAAATAAACATATAATAACTTAGAATGATCCATTAATTATAAGTAAAGAATAAATTCTTTTACAAAGCATAACTATTAATATTATTGACCATCATAAGAGCAAATATTTTAAGTAAAACACCATGAATACTTTACAGAAAGGAGCGAGTTGCAGACACAGTCATTCTTGGATTTGTTTCAACACCAGGCTTTCTTCCCTTTTGACCTGAACTGGGAGTTGAATATTTCCTCTCTTTGCCCTCTGACCCTCTAGTCTCTGAAACATCTTTTGTACTAGAGGTATGTGCAGAGACTTCCTGGAAATTTGGATTTGTAAATTGTGCTGTTGTATCTTCTAGGCACTGCAGTGATCCAGATATAGAGCTGTTGCTCTTGCTTGTATAAGTGTGACATGTTGATTCAAAAAAGGAAGTAAAAGGAAGAGAGTTGATTACATTTGGCTACTGACATTAATAATAATAAACAATAATTGTACTTGTAATATAAACATCTGAAAGTTTTAGTTCTAAGAATGGGTGTCCACATAAGAAAATTATGTAAAAATAATTAATGTCTATTGTAATTACTTTTCTTTAACCAAAGAAAAAGTATAATTTAAAGATGGCTGTTTAAGGATCAAATTGCAGCAATTGGTAAAAGTAGATATTAGTCATATTTATTAAGTGACACACAGTGATACTGAAGGCACTTATTTCTCAAGAAACATCATTTTTTCCAAACAAGAACATACTACGTCCTAGACATGAAATGAAAATAAACTTTAATTTTCACCACAGGAGGGCAACAATCAGAGAGCTGAGGTGGTACCGATCCATTAGAGGACCATATCCATGAGTCTATCGGTTCCTACTGTAGGACAGAGCAAGAATTTTTAAAGAATCTCGGTGAAGGCTCCTTTTCAAAAAAATACAAAGATTAAAGCCTTTGAAACGTAAATTATTTTTTCCAGTTATTACATTGAGGACAAAGTTATAGTTGCAAAGTTAAGATTTTTATAACTATCCTTAAAATTGATTCTCAGCGACTCCCTTGATCTACATATGTTAAGGAAAAAGGCAAGATAAAGATGTGTTAAATATTTTCCAGTTTTTAATAATCAGCTTTAATATAAGGTATACCCAAATAATGGTTAATTAAATGACAATGAAAGTATGTTATAGCAGATGTTCACTTATCAACATGCCTTGAAATTAAAGGTTTATAAGATGCATAAGGGCAAAGTTTTTGATGTTGCCATTACATTCACGAAAGTATCTCAGGCACGTACAGCATGAAGTTCACTAACTGCTTGCAACATAACCAGCACTAAATTTTGTTGAATAAATAAATGAATACTTTTGTATAGCATCTGTTCAAAATCTCTGATGTAAAAATGAAAATAATCTGAAAATATGCAAAACTGAAATTTCCCACATACGGCTGCCAATTCGTACAAACAATAAGATGAATTTCAAAATGAGAACATGACAATAAAATCAAGTTTCAAAATGGCTGGCTTTTTTTAGCATTACCCATGTTCAAAAAAAGGAATAAGACATCAAATGTTTTGAGAACCAAAATTTCACTGATGCTTTTCTCACACCTTGTTGTTAACCTAAGCCCCCATGCTCTTACTGTCAATAACAGATTTTCATCATAAAACACAAGAAACAGGCCGGGTGACTGTCAATAACAGATTTTCATCATCAAATACAAGATAGAGGCCGGGCACGGTGGCTCACACCTGTAATCCCAGCACTTTGGGATGCTGAGGCGTGTGGATCACTTGAGGCCAGGAGTATAAGACAAGCCTGGCCAACATGGTGAAACCTCTTCTCTACTAAAAATACAAAAATTACCTGGGTGTGGTGGCAGGCGCCTGTGATCCCAGCCAATCAGGAGGCTGAGGCAGGAGAATCGCTTGAACCTGGGAAGTGGAGGTTGCAGTGAACTGAGATCGATCCACTGTACTCCAGCCTGAGCGACACAGCAAGACTCCGCCTTAAACAAATAAATACACAACATAACAGAAACTCTGGGACACATTCAAAGCAGTGTGTAGAGGGAAATTTATAGCACTGAATGCCCACAAGAGAAAGCAAGAAAGATCCAAAACTTACACCCTAACATCACAATTAAAAGAACTAGAAAAGCAAGAGCAAACACATTCAAAAGCTAGCAGAAGGCAAGAAATAACTAAAATCAGGGAAGAACTGAAGGAAATACAGACATAAAAAACCCTTCAAAAAATTAAGGAATCCAGGAGCTGGTTTTTTGGAAAGATCAACAAAATCGATAGACCACTGGCAAGACTAATAAAGAAGAAAAGAGAGAAGAATCAAATAGGTGCAATAAAAAATGATAAAGGGGATATCATCACTGATCCCACAGAAATACAAGCTACCGTCAGAGAATACTACAAACACCTCTATGCAAATAAACTAGAAAATCTAGAAGAAACGGATAAATTCCTTGACACATACATCCTCCCAAGACTAAACCAGAAAGAAGTTGAATCTCTGAATAGACCAATAACAGGCTCTGAAATTGTGGCAATAATCAATAGCTTATCATCCAAAAAAGTTCAGGATCAGATGGATTCACAGCCGAATTCTACCAGAGGTACAAGGAGGAGATGGTACCATTCCTTCTGAAACTATTCCAATCAACAGAAAAAGAGGGAATCCTCCCTAACTCATTTTATGAGGCCAGCATCATCCTGATTCCAAAGCCTGGCAGAGACACAACCAAAAAAGACAATTTTAGACCAATATCCTTGATGAACATTGATGCAAAAATCCTCAATAAAATACTGGCAAACCGAATCCAGCAGCACATCAAAAAGCTTATACACCATGATCAAGTGGGCTTCATCCCTGAGATGCAAGGCTGGTTCAACATATGCAAATCAATAAATGTAATCCAGCATATAAACAGAACCAAAGACAAAAACCGCATGATTATCTCAATAGATGCAGAAAAGGCCTTTGGCAAAATTCAACAAAACTTCATGCTAAAAACTCTCAATAAGGTATTGATGGGACATGCCTCATAATAATAAGAGCTATCTATGACAAACCCACAGCCAATATGCTGAATGGACAAAAACTGGAAGCATTCCCTTTGAAAACTGGCACAAGACCGGGATGCCCTCTCTCACAACTCCTATTCAACATAGTGTTGGAAGTTCTGGCCAGGGCAATCAGGCAGGAGAAGGAAATAAAGGGTATTCAATTAGGAAAAGAGGAAGTCAAATTGTCCCTGTTTGCAGATGACATGATTGTATATCTAGAAAACCCCATTGTCTCAGCCCAAAATCTCCTTAAACTGATAAGCAACTTCAGCAAAGTCTCAGGATACAAAATCAATGTACAAAAATCACAAGCATTCTTATACAACAATAACAGACAAACAGAGAGCCAAATCATGAGTGAACTCCCATTCACAATTGCTTCAAAGAGAATAAAATACCTAGGAATCCAACTTACAAGGGATGCGAAGGACCTCTTCAAGGAGAACTACAAACCATTGCTCAATGAAATAAAAGAGGATACAAACAAATGGAAGAACATTCCATGTTCATGGGTAGGAAGAATCAATATCATGAAAATGGCCATACTGCCCAAGGTAATTTATAGATTCAATGCCATCCCCATCAAGATACCAATGACTTTCTTCACAGAAATGGAAAAACTACTTTAAAGTTCATATGGAACCAAAAAAGATCCCGCATTGCCAAGTCAATCCTAAGCCAAAAGAACAAAGCTGGAGGCATCATGCTACCTGACTTCAAACTATGCTACGCGGCTACAGTAACGGAAGCAGCATGGTACTGGTACCCAAACAGAGATATAGATCAATGGAACAGAACAGAGCCCTCAGAAAAAAATGCCACATATCTGCAACCATCTGATCTTCTAACAAACCTGACAAAAACAAGAAATGGGGAAAGGATTCCCTGTTTAATAAATGGTGCTGGGAAAACTGGCTAGCCGTATGTAGAAAGCTGAAACTGGATCCCTTCCTTATACCTTATACAAAAATTAATTCAAGATGGATTAAAAACTTAAATGTTAGACCTAAAACCATAAAAACCCTAGAAGAAAACCTAGGCAATACCATTCAGGACATAGGCATGGGCAAGGACTTCATGTCTAAACACCAAAAGCAATGGCAACAAAAGCCAAAATTGACAAATGGGATCTAATTAAACTAAAGAGCTTCTTCACAGCAAAAGAAACTACCATGAGAGTGAACAGGCAACCTGCAGAATGGGAGAAAATTTTCTCAACCTACTCATCTGACAAAGGGCTAATATCCAGAATCTACAATGAACTCAAACAAATTGACAAAAAAAAAAAAGATAAACAACCCCATCAAAAAGTGGGCAAAGGATATGAACCGACACTTCTCAAAAGAAGACATTTATGCAGCCAAAAAAACACATGAAAAAATGCTCATCATCACTGGCTATCAGAGAAATGAAAATCAAAACCACAATGAGATATCATCTCACACTGGTTAAAATGGCAATCATTAAAAAGTCAGGAAACAACAGGTGCTGGAGAGGATGTGGAGAAATAGGAGAACTTTTACACTATTGGTGGGAATGTAAACTAGTTCAACCATTGTGGAAGTCAGTGTGGCGATTCGTCAGGGATTTAGAACTAGAAATACCATTTGATGCAGCCATCCCGTTACTGGGTATATACCCAAAGGACTATAAATCATGCTGCTATAAAGACACATGCACGCGTATGTTTATTGCGGCACTATTCACAATAGCAAAGACTTGGAACCAACCCAAATGTCCAACAATGATAGACTGGATTAAGAAAATGTGGCACATATACACCATGGAATACTATGCAGGAGAAAAAAATGAAGAGTTCATGTCCTTTGTAGGGACATGGATGAAACTGGAAACCATCATTCTCAGCAAACAATCTCAAGGACAAAAAACCAAACACCGCATGTTCTCACTCATAGGTGGGAATTGAACAATGAGAACACATGGACACAGGAAGGGGAACATCACACACTGGGGACTGTTTTAGGGTGGGGGGAGTGGGGAGGGATTGCATTAGGCGATATACGTAATGCTAAATGACGAGTTAATGGGTGCAGGACACCAGCATGGCACATGTATACATATGTAACAAACCTGCACATTGTGCACATGTACTCTAAAACTTAAAGTGTAATAAAAAAAAAAGTCAAGAAACAACAGATGCTGGCAAGGCTGTGGAGAAATAAACACTTTTGCACTGTTGGTAGGAATGTTAATTTCTTCAATCATTGTGGAAGACAGTTTGGCAATTCTGCAAAGATCTAGAACCAGAAATACCATTTGACCCAGAAATCCCATTACTGGGTATATATCCAAAGGACTATAAATCATTTTATTATAAAGATGCATGCACGCGTATGTTTATAGCAGCACTATTCCCATTAGCAAAAACAAGGAATCAATCCAAATGCCCATCAGTGATAGACTGGATAAAGAAAATGTGGTACATACACACCATGGAGTACTATGCAGCCATAAAAAGGAATGAGATCATGTCTTTTGCAGGGACATGAATGAATCTGGAAACCATCATCTTCAGCAAACTAATACAGGAACAGAAGACCAAACACCACATGTTCTCACTCATAAGTGGGAGCTGAATAATGAGAACACCTGGACACAGGGAGGGGAACAACACACACTGGGGCCTGTCACTGGGGATGGGGAAGAAGAGCATCAGGATAAATAGCTAACGCATGTGGGGCTTAATACCTAGGCACCTAGGCTGTGGGTTGATAGGTACAGCAAATCATCATAGTGCACGTTTACCTATGTAACAAACCTGCATGTCCTGCACATGTATCCTGGAACTTAAAATAAAATTTTAAAAAATAAAAAGATAACAAGAGTACTGAAAATTGGCTCACAGTTCCACAGCCTGTACAGCAAGCATGATGCTGACATCTGCTCAGCTTCTGCGGAGGCCTCAGGAGACTTCATAATCATGTTGGAAGGGAAAGCAAGAGCAGGAGGAAGAGAGAGAGGGGGAAGGTCCTACACACTTTAAACAACAAGATCTCATGAGAACTCTATCACAAGAGCAGCGCTAGGGTAATTATGCTTATCTATTAGAAAGTGCTCCCATGGACCAGCCACCTCGCAGCAGGCCCCATCTCCGAAAGTGGGAACCACTGGAGGCTGCTCCCATGGACCAGCTACCTTCCAGCAGGCCCCATCTCCAACACTGGGAACCACTGGAAACTGCTCCCATGCACCAGCCACCTCCCAGCAGGCCCTATCTCCGACACTGGAGATTACATTTCTATAGAAGTTTCCAATAATTTTGGAACACATATTAATAACATTTAGAAAAATACAGTCCAAAGTAGCCCAAACATCATTCACTCTTCTATTTGAAAGTTTTCCCTCTATTGTAATGTCACAATCTCCAGCGTTATTAATCAGAATCCTGCATTTAAGGGCATCTGTTAAATTTTATAGCTGATTATAAAACCATCATTTAAAGAGGACCAAAATGAGACAATTTTCTGTGGATGACAAAAACATTAAGGGCAGCCACAGTTAAAGACATGAACAACAGCCTTTAAAGTAGAATTTGCTGTAGAGCCTACTATGTGGGAGATATTTCTAGTTATTACCTCTTTTATTCTAAACCATGGAAAAATTACCTGTCAAATAAAGTCCTTCTAGAAGAGTGAAGGGCTCCTGGCAATGTTCTCTTTAATCCATGATGTGGGATAAGGGGAGTTTTTACTAATTATGAGGCAATGTATATACCACTAAAGTTTCAATACCACAAAAGGAAAAAAAAGGGGGGGAGGGAAGTCCTGGAAGAACCAGATGGAGCCGTAGCAGAAGGTGATTTCAATCCACTGACCCCTGAATTGTGGGCTGGTTGTGCTGCATCGCTCTGTGACTTATGATTCTGCCACAACAAAGATCTAATTCCCAGGGTTATAGGAAAAGACACCTGTGGTACCCCTGAGGCAGAGAGAAGGGAGAAATCCAAACCTGACTTAAGTCTAGGGTTCTTAAGCCACACAATCTGCTCACAAGGAGGACCTTAACTCTGAAGATACTGATTTGGGGCTGTTTCAAAGAAAGAAATTATAAATATGAGTGGGAAAGAGAACAACCTTCCCCATATCCAGTGGCAAAAAAAATGAGAGAGAGAGAAGGAAGGAAGGAGGGAAGGAAGGAGAGAGGGAAGAAAGGAGGGAAGGAAGGAGAGAGGGAAGGAAGGAAGGGAAGGAGGGAGGTAGGGATGGAAGGAAGGAAGGAAGGAGAGGGAAGGAAGGAATGAAGGAAGGAGAGAGGGAAGGAGGACAGGAAGGAAGGAAGGAAAGAAGGAAGGAGAGAGGGAAGGAAGGAGGGAGGGAGGGAGGGAAGGGAGGAAGGAGAGAGGGAAGTAAGGAGGGAAGGAAGAAAAGGAAGGAAAGAGGGAAGGAATGAAGGAAGGAAAGAGGGAAGGAAGGAAGGAAAGATGGAAGGAAGGAAGGAGGGAAGGAAGGAAGGAAGGGAAGGAACTTGGATATGCACAAAAACAAAATTTAAATTAAAACGGAAGTCTATCATCTGACCTAATTGGAAATGTACTATTTTCTAAAATAACTTATACAGTCCAAAGGTAAAAGGATGCTGATTGGTATTTGTAACTCTCCAGCATATATTCGAATCAATTTTAACATCTGCTGAAATCTACCAATTGGCATACCTTCACAAACTTAATAAATACTGGAGCTCAAACTTTGTTATACCTGTGATTTCACTAAATTTAAACATTGCATCCCCTAATCCTAGCAGAGTAACTGCATCTAGAATAGAGGACACATAGTTATGCCTCACATTTGTTACCTTGACTAAATTTCCCGTAGTCATAGAAGCCTTTGTCCGTAGGGGACATGGATGCTCTTACCTAATGAGTAACAAATTGATATTAAATCATTTGAGCTTACACATTGACTTCACCAAATGTAACCTTACAGAACTCCCTCTCCTGTTTTTTTTTATTTGATTTATTTTTAATTTTTCATTTTTTTTAGAGATGGGGTTTTGCTCCATTACCCAGGCTGAATCAAGTGCGGTGGCACAATCATAGCTCACTGCTGCCTTGAACTCCTGGGCTCAAGCAATCCTCCCATTTTAGCCTTCCAAGTAGCTGGGATTACAGGCATGCACCAGCACAGCCAGTTAAAAAAAATTATAGAAGTGGAGTCTTGCTATGTTGCCTAGGCTGGTCTCTAACTTCTGGCCTCAAGCAATCCTCCTGCCTCGGCCTCCCAAAGTTCTGGGATTACAGGTGTGAGCCACCGTGCCTAGCCTCCCCATCTTGATAAATTATCAAATATGATCCAACATAAATTACAACATGACTTCAAATAAATAAAACTTACTATATAATACCTATTTAATTAGTGAAGGGGTGATAATCCTCATTGCTTCAACGTTTAGCAGTAGAATTTGTCCTGTTCTTAAACCTGCAAATAATAAATAGTGTTTCACAGTGGATTACTGTAATGTGACTGCAGTGATCCCATCCATTCAGACCCTCATACCCAATGCCTAATATTGTGGTTAATTTTTTTTTTATTTCAATAGGTTTTTGGGGAATATGTTGGTTTTCTTTTTATTTCAATAGGTTTTTGGGAAACAGGTGGTTTTTGGTTACAGGAATAAGTTATTTAGTGGCGATTTCTGAGATTAGTGGTGCACGCATTACCCAAGCAGTGTACACTGTACTCATTGTGTAGTGTTTTATCCCTCACCGCACCCACCCCACCACTCCCAGCCTTTCCCTGAGTCCCCGAAGACCATTGTATCATTCTTATGCCTTTGCATCCTCATAGCTTAGCTCTCACTTATGAATGAGAACATACAATGTTTGGTTTTCCATTCCTAAGTTGCTTCACTTAGAATAATGGTGTCCAGTTTCATCCAAGTGGCTGTGAATGCATTATTTCATTCCATCTTATGGCTGAGTAGTATTTCATGTGGTAAATATTTATACCACATTTTCTTTATCCACTTACTGATTAATGGGCATTTAGGCTGACTTCAAATTCTTCTAATTACATATTGTGCTGCTATGAACATGTGTGTGCAAGTATCTTTTTAATATAATGACTTATTTTCCTCTGAGTAGATACCCAGGAGTGGAATTACTGGATCAAATGATAGATCTGCTTTTACTTCTTTGGAAATCTCCTCACTGTTTTCCATAGCTGTTGTACTAGTTTACATTCCCTCCAAAAAGTGTAAAAGTGTTCCCTTTTTACCACATCCATGTCAACATCTATTAGTTTTTGATTTTTTGATTATGACCATTCTTGCAGGAGTGAAGGGATGTCATATTGTATTGTGGTTTTGATTTGCATTTCCCTGATAATTAGTTATGCTGAGCATTTTTTCATGTGTTTGTTGGCCAGTTGCTTATCTTCTTTTGAGAATTGTCTGTTCATGTCCATAGCCCACTTTTTGATGGGATGTTTTTCTTGCTGGTTTGTTTGAGTTCCTGCAGATTCTGGGTATTAGTCCTTTAATCAGAAGTACAGATTGCGAAGATTTTCTCCCACTCTGTAGGTTATCTGTTTACTCTGCTGATTATTTCTCTTACTGCGCAGAAGTCTTTTAGTTTAATTAAGTCTCATCTATTTATCTTTGTTTTAGTTGCATTTGCTTTTTGGATTATTGGTCATGAAGTCTTTGCCTAAGCCAATGTCTAGAAGGTTTTTTCCAATGTCGTCTTCTAGAATTTTTATGGTTTCAGGTATTAGATTTAAGTCCTTGATCCATCTTGAGTTGATTTTCGAATAGGGTGAGAAATGAGCATCCACTTTCATTCTTCTATGTGTGGCTTGCCATTTATCTCAGCACCATTTGTTGAATAGGGTATTCTTTCTCTGCTTTATGTTTTCGTTTGTTTTGTTGAAGATTAGATGACTGTAAGTATTTGGCTTTATTTCTGTGTTCTCTATTATGTTCCATTGGTCTTTATGGCTATTTTTATACCAGTACCATGCTGTTTTGGTGACTATGGCCTTCTAGTGTAGTTTGAAGTCAGCTTCTAGATTTGTTATTTTTGCTTAGTCTTGCTTTGGCTATACAGACTCTTTTTTGGTTCTAGGCTTTTACTACCTTAAGGTATGTCCCTTCTATGTCTTTTTTAGTTCTGTGTGAATTTTTGTAGTTCTGTGAAGACTGATGTTGGTACTTTAATGGGGATTGCATTGAGTTTGTAGATTGCTTTTGGCAGTATGGTATTTTCACAATATTGATGTTACCCATCCGTGAGCATGGGATGTGTTTCCATTTGTTTGTATCTATGATTTCTATCAGCAGTGTTTTGTAGTTTTCCTTGTAGAGGTCTTTTGTCTCTTTGGTTAAGTATTCTGGATATAATTAAGATGTGGTCTGCAAAGATTGCCTGCAATTGACAATTATAGGAATATACTATTATAATTATAGGAATTATAATATTCCTAAGGGTTTTATTGCAGCTATTGTAAAAGAGAGTGGGTTTTTTATTTAATTCTCAGCTTGTTCACTATTACTGTATAGCAGAGCCACTGACTTGTGTACATTTTTTATCCTGAAACTTTGCTGAAATCATTTACCACTTCTAGTAGCTTTTGGGATGAGTCTTTAGGGTTTTCTAGGTATACGATCATGTCATCAGCAAAGAGTGACAGTTCGACTTCCTCTTTACCTATTTGGATGCCCTTTATTTCTCTTATTTGATTGCTCTGGCGAGGACTTCTAGTACTATGTTGAATAGAAGTGGTGAAAGTTGGCATCATTGTCTTGTTCCAGTTCTCAGGGGGAATGCATTCAACTTTTCCCCATTCCACATAATGTTGGCTGTGTGTTTGTCATATATGGCTTTTATTACCTTAAGGTATGTCCCTTCGATGTTGATTTTGCTGAGGGTTTTAATCATAAAGGGATTCTGGATTTTGTCAAATGCTTTTTCTATGTCAATTTTGCTGAGGGTTTTAAGCATAAAGGGATGATGGATTTTGTCAAATCCTTTTTCTGCATGTATTGAGAGGATCATGTGATTTTTGTTTTTAATTCTGTTTTTACGGTGTATCACATTTATTGACTTGCAGATGTTTAACCATCCTGCATCCCTGGTTTCTCTTCAGATCGTGTACCTCTTTCACCTTATGATGGTTAATTTTATTTGCCAAGTTGGGTTGCCTAGATATTTGGTTAAACACTCTGGATGTGTCTGTGAGGGTGTTCCTTGATGAGACAAACATTTGAATATGTAGACTTAGTAAAGTAGTTACCCTCCCCAGTGTGAGTGGGCCTCATCCAATCCATTAAATCCCAAATAAAACACAAGGGTAGAGGAAGAGAGAATTCACTCTCTTTGATTATTTCAGAGCTGAGACGTAGATCTTCTCTCGCCTTTGAAGTCAGACGTGGACTGTAACTTATGCCATCAGCTTTCCTGATTCTCGGACGTTAGGCTTGTACTGGAACTCCAACATTGGCAGTCCTAGTTCTCCAGCTTGCTGACTGCAGGTCCTGGGACTTCTTAGCCTCCATAACCACATGAGCCAATTCCTTACAATAAACCTATATATATTCATGCAACTGATAAAATATTTTGTTGTTACAGATTTGGCTACCATGTTATTTTTGTGCCTATTTTAACAGAGTCTCAGTCATAGTCTGCCTTCATCTGTGAAGGGACCAGGCGACCCACGGAGTGCCTTGGCAGCCGCGTCATTGCATGCAATCTTCACAGACAAGATCTCACTGCAACCACCTTTCTACAGGAGCACAGGTGTGATATTATACTGATGACATCATTCTCAGAGAAAATTCATTTTACAAACTAAGGACACACAGATACAAGGAGGCTTACACAAAGGGAATGGACCTTTCCCAACACAGTAGTGCAAGGCCCTGCCACTTTGCTTCAATTCCTGAAAATTCCTTGGTAAATATGGGGCTGCCCTATTCCTGAGACTTTCAAAAAATAGTTATTCATCCTCTCAGCGTCTAAAATGTTAATACAAGCCTAATATTCTTTAATCTGTGTTTTGTTTTTTGGAGGCACAGTCTTGCTCTGTCACCCAGGCTGGTATGAAGTGGTACGATTTCAGCTCACTGCAGCCTCGACCTGAGATCAAGCAATTCTCCCATCTTAGCCTTCCAAGTAGCTAGGACTTCAGGTGTGTGCCATGACACTCAGCTAATTTTGTTTATATTTTTGTAGAGAAAAGGTCTCGCTATGTTACCCAGGCTGGTCTCAAACTCCTGTGGTGAAGCGATCCTCTTGCCTCAGCCTCCCAAAGTTCTGGGATCACAGGTGTGAGCCACTGTGCCCAGCCCTTTAATTCTTTACTTGGGGTTCAGGTGACAATATATTTCTTATTTACAAATCTTACTTAATCTCACTGATGCTGTCATTGGCAAACTGACCCACCTTGAATGAAGCCTCCTCCAACAAGTCTGGAATCTGTCCGAATTTAAATTAACAGGTGCTCCTATGAATTCCCTCAGAGAACACACTGTGGACGCTTTAGCAACCTCTTCCTATGCCTCCTGAAGTATCTGGGTTGCATATGGTGGCCATAAGTAGTCCATGGGCTTCTGATGTAAAAAAAAAAAACTGCCCCTTTTGACCCTGTTCTGTACAGCATCAGGGCAGTGATTGCTGACCACATGCTGGACCCTCTGGAAACAGAGCGCTCTGCATCCATGTCCACGAGCCTTCATGCCCATCTGGTCATCAGGCCTTGGGAAGAAGCACCCCACAGCCTTGGCACAGCTGCAGAGACCTCCTTGCGTCAGGATGGAGTCAAACCTGGACCCCCTGCCATTCTCATCTGCAGGAAACACTGGCCTCCTTCATCCTCAGTCTGTGTTGCTGGAAGTCAGCCATCTCCGAGGCCCTTTGGGATCGACTGAGTGACCAGCAGTGAAGTTTGTCCACCTTCTGAATGGATGCCATCATCTGACGTGATGGAGCACAGTGGGATGCTGCTGTCTTCCCTCGCTTAGCTAGGATGTCCCTGATAAAGGATAACACAAAAGCCTCAGCACAACTGGCCAAACTTGAGGTGGTCATCTCAGCACTGATGCTAGGCCAACAATTAGCCCCATTTGTACATTTTTACAAATTTTTGGCAATTGCCAAGAATTGTCCACCTTCCCTCCCCATTGAATTAAAGAAACTTCTTGCCTCATGGATACTCAGAATACAGTCAAGGTAACAGATGCCTTTTTTTAACCAAGGACACAGTACGGATCTCACAGGGACACTCCTTATCCCCTGCAGAGAGTTCCAGACACTACTGATGGTGACCAAGGCAACATTTCATCAGAAAACACAGTGCTAGGCTTGTGAAAGTGTCCAGTAGGGCTTCTACTGCCCCTACAGGCTGCAGGCAGCTGCTTTAGTTGAGAGATAGACTGAGCTCCTCAAAGAATTCCTATTTAAGTTACAAAGCAGCAAGTGGATGCCCTGCTGGGTTCCACTGTTGCCACAGGCTTTGATTACTCTTAAGTTCATGCTTCTTAGGAAAGTGCACTTTTTACACCAATGCTACACAGTTCCCTCAGTTGCCTTTACTGGACATCAAGGAGTTCACATTTTTGACAACCATTCAGTCCCGGACTGTCCAAGGGGTGGAGGTAGCTCCGTACAGGAAGCTGCCTGCTGCGTGTGGATCAGTAATATCAGACTTGCCCAGCAACTCACTGGAGACATGAAAACCAATGCATGGGGGATGCATGACGTCACCCAAATATTTATGAACACGCTTGTGCTGCCAGAGACCCCAGATCTCTAAACCAATGCATGGGGAATGCATGACGTCACCCAAATATTTACGAACAGGCTTGTGCTGCCAGAGACCCCAGATCACTTTTCCTGCCTCCTGCTAAATAAATGGGGGCAGTAGATTTGCATCGGTTTCCACATTACATTATTCATAACTGTGGCCTTCCTAATTTCTCATGTCCCTAAGCACTTATTACAATGTCTCAGCAGCTTTCTGTCAGCCTCTCATAATATTAGTCATCATGAAAATAAATGTCTGATGTTAAAGCATCAGGGGTCAATTGTATTGTGACACCTAAAATTTCATGCAGCACCCCACCATGTCCTCAGCCTAATGGCTTTCATGCCCCCACCAGACTGCAAAACTCTGAATTAGTCAAGCACATCCCTGAAGGGACCAGGGGTTACCCCACCCTCTGATTTCCACCAAGCCTGCCTCCCACACCCTCTGTTCCAGAGTGCAACCCTGGGTAGACCTGCATAAATGCAGTGTCATCCCCCTGGCTGAGTATGTGTGACGAGTAAATTACTGGGAATTTCGTCTGCTCAGTGTTTGTTTTGTCTGCAGCCATTCCCAGAATTCTAGGACAAGACTAGCTTCTTTGCCAATGGGGTGAACAGGAAGGAAACCAAGTAGGAATTGCCTTTTTAAAAAAATCCCTTCCCACCCTCTTAATTATGTAATGCATGGATTTTTATAGCTTTTTTGCTCATTCCATTACCTGAGGTCAGCCACTGATATTTAACCTATCCTTAGCCTCGGAGGAGGGCAGAGGAGCATTGGTCATATTGATTTCGCTAGCGGTGACATGATTTCCTCCTGTGCCACTCAAATTCTCTCCTTCTTTAACTTGATGCTCAGTAGGTTGTGTTTCTCTCATCTTTGTAGATTGTTAGGAAGATGAGAATCAGCTTTCATTTTTGATGTTGCCATAGAGAAGACTCCATGGTAATGTTTCTTTGCACAATCAACTTTTTCTTTTCCCCCAGAAATTGCAAATTCTTATGTGAGAGACAGCTTTCTGGAGTCTGCAAACATAGATTACTGTCTCTCTTTTGATAGTAAATTTATTATATCCCCACCATCAATAAAATACTTACATATAATTTTGACATGTCATATTGATTGCCAACTACACGTAAGAACATTCCTTGATTTTAAATCTAGACTAATTATGAAAATTTGGGTAGTCACCAAAAATTATTGTGCACAAATTTATAGACCTTAGGATTAAATGAGTTACTATTAACTAATATTTATTGTGCAGTCAGTGTATGGCAGAAACTTATTATGTACTATTTCATTTTATACTTAAAACAATATTCTATGCAAAATGCTATAATTTCACCATGCCTCCAATTTGGACATGATAAAACTGGATCTCGTAAAGTTTTCACCCCAGAGTTCTCTGCTTAGTAAGAAGTAGAAGTAAGTCTAAACCTAAGTTACCTGATTTCAGAGCCCATGTAGTTAAATGCTCTAAATGCAGCTTCCCCTGGTGATGGTGACTCTGAGAGCCTGTCACATGATGTAGGACAGTGCTTCCCTGTAACGTGTGCAAGATTCCCGTGATGATGGTGACTATGAGACCCTGTCAGATACTATGTAGAACAGTGCTTCCCTGTAACATGCACAAGATTCCCGTGATGATGGTGACTATGACAGCCTGTCACATATGATGTTGGACAGTGCTTCCCTGTAACATGCACAGGATTCCCGTGATGATGGTGACTATGACAGCCTGTCACATATGATGTAGGACAGTGCTTCCCTGTAACGTGTGCAAGATTCCCGTGATGATGGTGACTATGACAGCCTGTCACATATGATGTAGGACAGTGCTTCCCTGTAATGTGTGCAAGATTCCCGTGATGATGGTGAGTATGAGAGCCTGTCAGATACTATGTAGAACAGTGCTTCCCTGTAACATGCACAAGATTCCCGTGATGATGGTGACTATGACAGCCTGTCATATATGATGTATGACAGTGCTTCCCTGTAACGTGTGCAAGATTCCCATGATGATGGTGACTATGACAGCCTGTCACATATGATGTAGGACAGTGCTTCCCTGTAACATGCCCAAGATTCCCGTGATGATGGTGACTATGAGAGCCTGTCACATGTGATGTAGGACAGTGCTTCCCTGTAACGTGTGCAAGATTCCTGTGATGATGGTGACTATGAGAGCCTGTCACATATGATGTAGGACAGTGCTTCCCTATAACATGCACAAGATTCACCCTGGAATCTTATTAAAATGCAAACTCGTAGACCACACTTTGACTAGCTAAGACAAGAGCATTTAAATGGACGTCCAGGTGACAGTGCTAAGATCCTACTGTTCATGTGGGCACTGGCTCACCATATTAACGAAGCTTAGGACCTCCAGTCCCTGCTGGAAAAGAAATACAGATACATAGGATGTGACTGTGCATATGGAATGTCTGTTGTGTTCTCGACATTGTACTGGACACTAGACATGAAAAGTCAAATATCCCTTGCCTCTTTCTGAAAGGAGCTTCCTACACAGTGGCTTCTGACTGCAGTGTATATTTTCTCTTCTGTCCTGGGTGGGTGAGCTCTATCTCAATGTTGGTAACTGAACACTGCCCAGTGGGTTTGATGGGGGAGACCATAGCTAGCTGCGCTCCCACATAGCTATGACCATAGCATACCTCGTGATGCCATTTCCCCATTGTCAGAAGCCTCCCTCCAGTATCATACACGCTCTCCATGATTATAAATTCTTCCTCCTTCCACTAAATGTTCCTAAATCTTGCAAAAATAAAAACATAAACCACATTCTTGTCATATTAGTTATATATTAATGATGAAAGTTCCTTACTTTTCTTTCTTATTTTTTTGCGACGGAGTCTCGCTCTGTCCCCAGACTGGAGTGCAGTGGCGCGATCTCGGTTCCCTGAAAGCTCTGCCTCCTGTGTTCACGACATTCTCCCACCTCAGCCTTCCGAGTAACTGGGACTACAGGCACCCACCACCACCCCTGGCTAATTTTTTTGTGTTTTTAGTAGAGACGGGGTTTCACCATGTTATCCAGGATGGTCTTGATCTCCTGACCTTGTGATCCGCAAGCCTCGGCCTCCCAAAGTGCTGGGATTACAGGCATGAGCCACCGCACCCAGCCCAAGTTCCTTATTTTTCATGTGTTTAATATTTTCTCCCAATTTATAGAATATATTGATTAAGAATAAATTTTAGCCATGCACATCTTTTACAAACTTCATGATATACTTTGCCATATTTAAATTTCTTATACTCTTATAAAATGTGTGTTCTGATCTCACGTCCATTTCTTCCCTCTGGCTTCTATTAGTTTAGGCTATGAGCAGAGATGGACGAGGTGGCTACTGTAATAGATCAAGGCTATAAGCAGAGATGGATGAGGCAGCGGCTGTAATGGATTAAGGCTATGGGCATCTTATGAAGTAGGATGTAAAATCTGTAAATGTCAGAATGAATCTAAACTTACCAATTCAAAACTGGATTGCAAAACAGCTCAAAAAAAGACTGAAAACACAGCTCTACAATTTAGGAGGCTGAGGCAAGCAGATTGCTTAAGTTCAAGAGTTGGAGAAAAGTCTAAGAAACATGGAAAAACCATCTCTACAAAAAAAAAAAAAAGTTTTAATTAGGAGGGTATGGTGGTATGAGCCTGTGGGTCCCAGCTTTTCAGGAGGCTGAGGTGAGAGGATTGCTTGAGGCCAGAAGGTAGAGGCTGCAGTGAGCTCTGATAATGCCACTGCATTTCAGCCTAGGTGACAGAGTGGGACCCGTCTCAAAAACAAACAAAAATAACAAACAAAAACAGCTCTAAACAAAAGTGGCTAGAAAAGTAGCTCAAGTTTTTCCTGTCTGGTTAAATAGAAACATAAATGAACTACTTATGTGCCCCAGTGGCTTCATAATGCTGAGAGGAAAGTCAATTATTCTAGCAGGTTCTGGAAAACTTTATCATATCATGGGGTTCAATGAAAATATCAAATCATAAATATAATAATCAAATCTGAAAGTGAATCTAGTTTCAAAGACCTCAGAAGCCAGTGTGTAGGAAGCTCTTTTCAGATAGAGACAAGGGATTATTTGACTTCTTATCTCTGTTGTCTAGCACAATGTCCAGAACACAACAGATATTCCATATGCACAGTCACATCACATGTATGTGTATTTCATTTCCAGCAAGGACTAGAGGTCCTAAGCTTTGTTTATTTGGTGAGCCAGTGCCCAAATGAGCAGGAGAATCTCAGCACAGTCACCTACACACTCATTTCAATGCTCTGGCCCCTTATCCAAGCTAGTCAAAGTGTGGTCTATGGTTTTGCATTTTAAGGGATCCCTGGGTGAATCTTGTGGCTGTCAAAGGAGAAGCACTGCCCTCAAAATATAGAAAAGGTGAACTAATTTATACAAGCAGCCTGGCTGTTTATTTATGTATGTATTTATCTTGTTGATGGGAAGATTCAAATTGATATACACAGTCACCCCCATAAGGATTTCAGGTAAAAAACGAACAAAGATTTAGATATCAGATGTGTTTTACAATTACCACACCAGTCTTTTTACTACAGAATCTAGTAGCATATTTCCAATAGATCTAGGTGAAAATTTCTGTCTCATGACCCTTCTGTCAGTATTTTTAAAATTGGATACTCTATTAGTGGCAAAATTGAATCTCTTACAGGCATCTCACTCAAACTGCAGTCATACTTTCCAATAGGCCCCATAAAAATCCTTGTTCTGGAGCAATCTAATACATTTATCCACCTCTTTAGACACTTAGGTAAGTATAATAATACAAGTTTTGTGTGTGTGTGTGTGTGTGTGTGTGTGTATTGTGTACCTTGTTGCCTCTTGTCCACTTTCTGCAACACCTGAATCTGAGGCAAGTTTAATGTAAATAACGTCCAGCAATGTTAGAAATGTTTACTTTTATGTGCCCATCAGGAAAAAATGATGAATGTTATTGTAGAGGAAATTTTCATTCTGGAAAAAATGCATACTGTTTGAATGTTACTTTCATGCTTTCCACAGATATTATACACAGATATTATATTCCAAGGATTATGTTTCAAAGTCTTCAAAAATAGAAAATTCATTTTATATTTCTAGCTGAAAATAATAACAATAATTAGCCTACCTTTGGGGAAATGTGATAAAAATACTAATGAACATCACAACTCATTAAAAGCATAAAATGTGCAATGATTTAAACTACATGTTCTTTCTATGAATCTGCGTAGAAATATAGACACATTTGATAAATGATATTTAAAGTCTGAGTGCTTTGGTAAATGATTCATCTATAGGTTGAAAGGACTACTTTTATCTGCCTTCATAGTGAGAATTAGATTTC